>NW_003571057.2:0-195632 GCF_000001405.40 Homo sapiens | reverse complement strand
GAATTCCCCATGAGTCCTGTGACCTCAGCCCACGCGGGGACCTACAGGTGCTACGGCTCATACAGCTCCAACCCCCACCTGCTGTCTCACCCCAGTGAGCCCCTGGAGCTCGTGGTCTCAGGTGAGGGCGCTGACCCCGTCCTCTCTGAGCTCAAAGGCTCAGCTCAGGCCCAGGCCCCCAGGAGAGCTCTCGGCTGGGATGGACCGAGGGAGGCTGTGAGGGAGGCTTAGCCAGAGGGCACCCAGCCCTCAGAGGGGAGGAGGCCAACAGGGGTTCTCCTAGGCGTGGCCACCCGTTCTCCCCTGCCTGGCATGCAGAAGGCACCAGGTGGGCAGAGAGATGGTTCCAGGGAATCCACTGGGCGGAAGCAGGAGAGTGGGAGTGGAAGGGTGCACTCCATGGACGGCCCCCGCCCCTCACCCGCCTCCCGTGCTCCTTCCAGGACACTCTGGAGGCTCCAGCCTCCCACCCACAGGGCCGCCCTCCACACCTGGTGAGTCACTGAGGCCTCGTGGGGAGCGCCGCCTCCCCCAGGGCAGTCTGAGTCTCCCAAAGGATCCCACTCCCCTCCCCTCAAGGACGGGCTTGTGTCCCAGGGGCTCTGAGGCTGGGCTGGTGAAGAGTGGGGGGTCGAGGCAGAGGGAGATGTTGGGGCCCAGCCAGGAGGAGGAGCCGGGCTGATGTGGGGGGCAAGACAGCCCCAGCCTTCACCTCCCTGTCCTGACCCAGGAGGTCCTGAGGACCAGCCCCTTAACCCCCCAGGGTCAGGCCCTCAGAATCGTGAGTGAGGGGCTCTGAGTGGGAGATGGGCGGGGTCCAGGGGAGGCAGGGGTGGGTTCTGTCCTAGGTTCAGGCTCCTCTGGAGGTGGTGATGTGGACAGGCCCCTCCCCTGCCTGGGCCTCAGTTTCTCCAAGTGTAAAGGAGAGAGGCCTGTGGGTGGGAAAGTTCCTTTCAGCTCTGACCCCCAGCTGTGACCTCCTGGGAGAGGAGGCCTCCCAGGGAACCTCCCAGACCCGATTCCACAGGGGCCTGTCCCGTCCCACCTGCAGCAGTGACGGTGACCTGGGGCAGGGGAGGGGAGCAGGGCCGTGGTTCAGGACGGTCAGGCTCTTTCCCTGCAGCTCCGGGTCTCGGCTCTGGTGCAGGAACAAGGGCTGCAGGTCAGACTCCCGGGCTCCCTTCCCAGCTCTGCCGCTTCCTCGCTGGAGGCCTGGGGCAGGCGACTCCCTGCTCTGAGCCTCAGTTTGTGCATCTGTGAAATGGGTTGTACGGGTGGCAATTCCATGTTGCACGACTGCTTGTGAGGGTTGGAGGTCACGAAGGAAAGACCTGGCTCGCGCCTGCACACAGTAGGTGCTCACATCAATGACATCATTCCCACTCCTGACGTCCTCATGTCAAGGTCTGGGAAGATACCTGGAGGTTTTGATTGGGGTCTCGGTGGCCTTCGTCCTGCTGCTCTTCCTCCTCCTCTTCCTCCTCCTCCGACGTCAGCGTCACAGCAAACACAGGACATCTGGTGAGTAGGGAAGCGGGGGACCCATGGGTCGACCGAGGGTGGGCTCAGGGCACCAGCCAGAGGGAACCCAAACACACAGGGGTGTCAGTTTAGAAAACCGGTTCCAGGGGCACGTAATTTCAATACGCATTTACAAACTTCAGTATTCATGGGAGTTTTTTTCTATCTCATAAAATATTTGGAACATCCATGCAGGAATATTTTTAGTTTTCCTTCTTTCCCTCAAGTTGCATGTGTAGAATGGGAGTTCTAATGTTCCCAGGGCTGAGACTCTGTCCATCTTCACCCAGACCAGAGAAAGACTGATTTCCAGCGTCCTGCAGGGGCTGCGGAGACAGAGCCCAAGGACAGGGGCCTGCTGAGGAGGTAATTCTGCCCCAAAGACCACAGACTCCCACCCACCACAGCCCATACACTGCCCCTCACACTCCCATGTCCTCCTCCAGGTCCAGCCCAGCTGCTGACGTCCAGGAAGAAAACCTCTGTAAGAGGAAGAGAGGGGACAAATGGGGGTGCTGGAGAGACAGGAGTCCCAAAATTTCAGTAGCAACAGGGAGGGGCTGGGAAGGGTCTGGGGCTCCGTGGAAGATGGTCTTGCCCCACACTGTGGGACCTCCCTGCATTCGGTGGCCCCATCTGGGAGCAGGGCAGGGGGCCAGCAGGACTGAGAGGTCTCAGAGAACCAGGAGACGAACCCCTTGCTCTGCCCCAGCAGATGCTGCCGTGAAGGACACACAGTCTGAGGACAGGGTGGAGCTGGACAGTCAGGTGAGATCCCGCCCCGTCCCAGGCACCAAAGGCCTCCTGGTGCCAGATCTAATCCTGCAGGACTTCTCTGTCCTCCTTCCCCCGGCTCTCAGCATCGTCACGGTGGACCCCTCCTTGTCCAGCATGCTGCCTCCCGCCTGCTGTGACCTCACTCTCTTCTGCTGTCCTGGGACCTCGTGGGCCTCCTCCCGGGTCCCCTTCCTGCTCCTCATCCTCTGTTTGGCCGTCTGGTTGTTAGAGCTCTCCCCAGGCCTCAGGAGGATGACGAATAAATGAACCACCTCCGTCCCCTGGGCTCCTCTTCATTCATTCATCCAGCGAGTGTTCCCAGGGAGCTCACTGTGGATGGGGCTCCCCATGGGAGCTGCAGACACAGCAGGGAGCAAAGCCGCCCCCGCCTCCTGAGCTCACCTCATGGTGGGAGACAAAATGCAAATAAATGCATCGTGTCCAGGAGTGCAACGTGCTGTAAGGAACATACACCAGGGAAAGGGCAGAGAGTGTGGGGCAGTGGGGCCAGTCTGAATGGAAGGGGAGGGCTGTCTGCTCAGCTGTCATCTGAGAAGCCTGGACAGAGTGGGGCACATGATCCTCTGATAGACGAGCCCCTGCAGGCAGAGGAAACAGCCGTGCAAAGGCCCCCAGGCAGCAGCGAGCTCTTGCAGGAAGGCCTGTGAGGCTGCAGCCAAATGGGCAAGGTCAGAGTGAGGAGCAGAGGCCAGAACCACAGGGAGGGAGCGGCCAGACCCTCCACGGCCTTAGGGCGTCCCTGAGATTCCATCAGGAAAGGGATGTAATCGGATCACCCCGGGAACAGTGAGGAAAATTGACTCCAGGAGGTCAGGGGGACTCAAGGACACCCCCCACCACTGTCTCTCTCCAGCAGAGCCCACACGATGAAGACCCCCAGGCAGTGACGTATGCCCCGGTGAAACACTCCAGTCCTAGGAGAGAAATGGCCTCTCCTCCCTCCTCACTGTCTGGGGAATTCCTGGACACAAAGGACAGACAGGTGGAAGAGGACAGGCAGATGGACACTGAGGTGAGTCCTTTCCTCTCCAGGCCCCCAGGCCTCCCCCACCCCCACCACGTTCCTTACCTCTCACTCTCCCCCGCTGCAGGCTGCTGCATCTGAAGCCTCCCAGGATGTGACCTACGCCCAGCTGCACAGCTTGACCCTTAGACGGAAGGCAACTGAGCCTCCTCCATCCCAGGAAGGGGAACCTCCAGCTGAGCCCAGCATCTACGCCACTCTGGCCATCCACTAGCCCGGGGGGTACGCAGACCCCACACTCAGCAGAAGGAGACTCAGGACTGCTGAAGGCACGGGAGCTGCCCCCAGTGGACACCAGTGAACCCCAGTCAGCCTGGACCCCTAACACAGACCATGAGGAGACGCTGGGAACTTGTGGGACTCACCTGACTCAAAGATGACTAATATCGTCCCATTTTGGAAATAAAGCAACAGACTTCTCAACAATCAATGAGTTAATAACAAAAAAACAAAAAACAAAAACAGACGTAAAGGCCGGGTGTGGTACTCAGGAGGCTGAGTGGGGAGGATTCCTTGAACACAAGAAGTTAAGGCTGCTGAGGCTGCAGTGAGCTATGACTGTGCCACTGCACTCCAGCCTGTGTGACAGAGCGAGACCTTGTCTCTAAAAAAAAAAACAGTGAATGTTTTAAACTGAATGATAATGTAAATATTATACATCGAACTTATGACATGGGAAAATTAAGAAGCATAAATAGGCCGGGCGCGGTGGCTCACGCCTATAATCTCAGCACTTTGGGAGGCTGATGCGGGCGGATCATGAGGTCAGGAGATCGAGACCATCCTGGCTAACACGGTGAAACCCCGTCTCTACTAAAAATACAAAAAAATTAGCCGGGCGTGGTGGCGAGTGCCTATAGTCCCAGCTACTCAGGAGGCTGAGGCAGGAGAATGGCATGAGCCCGGGAGGCAGAGCTTGCAGTGAGCTGAGATCGCACCACTGCACTCCAGCCTGGGCGACAGAGTGAGATTCCGTCTCGAAAAAAAAAAAAAAAGAAAGAAAAAAAATAAAAAAGAAGCATAACCAGGTGCAGTGGCTCACACCTGTAATCCCAATACTTTGGGAGGGCAAGTGGGGAGGATAGCTTGAGCTCAGGAGTTCGAGTCAGTCAGATCAGCATTGTGAGGCCCCATCTCTACAAAAAATAAAACCAGTCCGGCGTGGTGGCACACACCTGTAGTCCCAGCTACTTGAGAGGCTGAGGTGGGAGGATCACTTGGGTACAGGAGGTCGAGGCTGCAATGAGCCGAGATCGCACCACAGCACTTCAGCCTGGACGAGACCCTGTCTCAAAAAAACAAAACAACTAACAAGCCAGTGAAATTATCTGTTGATTAGTGTTTGCATAATACATTTTTCATCCTTCTGCTTTTTTAATGTGATAAAATATAAACAACAGGCCAGGCGCGGGGGTTCATGCCTGTAATCCCAGCACTTTGGGAGGCCAAGGCGGGTGGATCACAAGGTCAGGAGTTCAAGACTAGCCTGGCCAAGATGGTGAAACCCCATCTCTACTAAAAATACAAAAACTGGCCAGGTGTGGTGGCAGGCACCTGTAATCCCAGCTACTAGGGAGGCTGAGGCAGAGAACTGCTTGAACCCAGGAGGCAGTGGTTGCAGTGAACCGAGATCACACCACTGCACTACAGCCTGGGCAACAGAGCAAGACTCTGTCTCAAAAAAAAAAAATTCCAATCTTGTAATCTCTTTTTGATCACTTATATTTAATGTAATCACTGATGACATTACAACCGTATGTCACTTAATGACAGGGATATGTTCTGAGAAAGCCATCATTAAAAAATTTTGGCCAGGCGTGGTGGCTCATGCCTGTAATCCCAGAACTTTGGGAGGCCAAGATGGGTGGATCACCAGAGGTCGGGAATTCGAGACCAGCCTGCTCAACATGGTGAAACCCTGTCTCTACTAAAAATACAAAAATTAGCCGGGCATCGTGGTGCATGCCTGTAATCCCAGCTACTTGGGAAGCTGAGGCAGGAGAATCGCTTGAACCTGGGAGGCGGAGGTTGCAGTGAGCCAAAATCGTGCCATTTCACTCCAGCCTGGGAGACAGAATGAGACTCCATCTCAAAAAAAAGAAAAAAAAAAATTCACCGTCGTGTGAACATCATAGAGTCTACTTACACAAACCTACGTGGTATAACCTACTACATACATAGGCTATACCATCACATATGAAATGTGTAGTGGAGCGAAACATCGTTATGCGGTGCATGACTGTGTTCAGGTGTGCCTTTTTGTTTGTCTCCTCTGCTGTGTGTTGTTTCCCCTTTCCTGCCTACTCTAGGTTTTTAGAAATATTTTGATTTGTTAAAAACTTATGATTCCCCCCTCGCCCGGCCAGCCGCCCCGTCCGGGAGGGAGGTGGGGGGGTCAGCCCCCCGCCAGGCCAGCCGCCCCATCCGGGAGGTGAGGGGCGCCTCTGCCCGGCCGCCCCTACTGGGAAGTGAGGAGCCCCTCTGCCCGGCCGCCACCCCGTCTGGGAGGTGTACCCAACAGCTCATTGAGAACGGGCCATGATGACAATGGCGGTTTTGTGGAATAGAAAGCGGGGAAAGGTGGGGAAAAGATTGAGAAATCGGATGGTTGCGGTGTCTGTGTAGAAAGAGGTAGACATGGGAGACTTTTCATTTTGTTCTGTACTAAGAAAAATTCTTCTGCCTTGGGATCCTGTTGATCTGTGACCTTACCCCCAACCCTGTGCTCTCTGAAACATGTGCTGTGTCCACTCAGGGTTAAATGGATTAAGGGCGGTGCAAGATGTGCTTTGTTGAACAGATGCTTGAAGGCAGCATGCTCGTTAAGAGTCATCACCACTCCCTAATCTCAAGTACCCAGTGACACAAACACTGCGGAAGGCTGCAGGGTCCTCTGCCTAGGAAAACCAGAGACCTTTGTTCACTTGTTTATCTGCTGACCTTCCCTCCACCGTTGTCCTATGACCCTGCCAAATCCCCCTCTGCGAGAAACACCCAAGAATGATCAATAAAAAAAAAAAAAAAAAACTTATGATTCCTTAACTTTTCTATTTAATATTTTTGGACCATGGTTGACCACCAGGTAACTGAAAACACAGAAAGAAAATTACAGATAAAGGGGGACTACTGTATTAGAGTTTTTTAAAAATATATTTTAAATTTTTTTGTAGCAATGGGATCTCACGATGTTGCCCAAACTGGCCTCAAACTTGTGGGCTCAAGAGCCTCCCATCTCCGCCTCCCAAAGTGTTGGGATTACAGGCATGAGCCACTGTGCCCAGCTTAAGAGTTTTTAATTGAAAAATAATAATTGTACATATTTATGGAATACAGAATATTTGATTTTATCTACGTGTGTGTGTGTGGTTTTTTTTTTTTTCGAGATGGAGTTTCACTCTTTTTGCCCAGGCAGGAGTGCAATGGTGCAGTCTCGGCTCACTGCAACCTCCGCTTCCCAGGTTCAAGTGGTTCTCCTGCCTCAGCCTCCCAAGTAGCTGGGACTACATGTGTGCACCACTATGCCCAACATATATATATTTACATATATATATATTTTTTTTTGAGACGGAGTCTCGCTCCATTCTACCTCAGCCTCCCGAGTAGCTGGGATTACAGACACATGCCACCACGCCTGGCTAAGTTTTATATTTTTAGTAGAGACAGGGTTTTGCCAGGCTGGTCTTGAACTCCTGACCTCTTGATCTGCCTGCCTCCCAAAGTGCTGGGATTATAGGCGTGAGCCACCGCACCCGGCCCAACAAATATATTTTTATTGAGATACAACTCTATTTTGTGGCATTTAGTAAATTCACAATATGGTGTAAGCATCACCTCTATCTCATTCCGAAACATTTTTATCATACCGAGAAGGAAACCGAGTTTACATCAAGCAATCACTCCCACCTAATCCCATGCAACAATTAACCTACTTTCTGCCTCTATCGATTGGCCTTCTTTGAATACCTTTTTTTTTTTTTTTTGAGACAGGGACTCACTCTGTCACCCAGGTTGGAGTGCAGTGGTGTGATCTCGGCTCACTGTAACCTCTGCCTCCCAGGCTCAAGCGATCCTGCCACCTGAGCCTCCCAAGTAGCTGGGATCACAGGCACATGCCACCATGCCGGGTGAATTTTTTGTATTTTTGGTAGAGATGGTATTTCACCATGTTGCCCAGGCTGGTCTCAAACTCCTAAACTCAGGCAATCCACCTGCCTTGGCCTCCCAAAGTGCTGGATTACAGGCAATGAGCCACCACACCCAGGCTGGATACTTCTTATAAATGAAATAACGTCATATGTGACCTTTTTTTCCTGACTGCTTTTATCTAGTATATTATCAAGGTTCACACATGTAGCATGTATGAGTACTTCATTCCTTTCTACGGTTGAATAATATTTTGTTGTAAGGATATACCACACTTTCTCTATTCACCAGCTGATAGACATCGCTACAAAAATAAGTAGTGGCTGTGGAGGTGCACGTCTGTAGTCCCAGCCACTCGGGAGCCTGAGGCGGGAGGATCACCTGAGCCACGATGTCAAGGCTGCAGTGAGCTATGATAGTGCCACTGCACTCCAGCCTGGGCAACAGGCCTCATCTTTTAAGCAAAGAAAAAAGAGGCCGAGCATGGTGGCTCATGCCCGTAATCCCAACACTTTGGGAGGCTGAAGCGGGCGGATCACCTGAGGTCAGGAGTTCAAGACCAGCCTGGCCAACATGGTAAAACTCTGTCTTTACTAAAAAATACAAAATTTAGCTGGATATGGTGGCGCGCATCTGTAATCCCAGCTAACTGGGAGATTGAGGCAGGAGAATCGCTGGCACCTGGGAGGTGGAGGCTGCAGTGAGCTGAGATCACGCCACTGCACTCCAGCCTGGGTGACAGAGCAAGACTCTGTCTCAAAAACAAAAAAAAAAAAAAAGAAAAAGAAAAAAGAGGCCGAGCATGATGGCTCATGCCTGTAATCCTAACACTTTGGGGGGCCAAGGCAAGAGGATGATTTAAGGTCAGGAGTTCGAGAATAGCCTGGCCAACATGGTGAAACTCTGTCTCTACTAAAAATACAAAAATTAGCCAGGCGTGGTTGCACGTGCCTGTAATCCAGCTACTTGGGAGGCTGAAGCAGGACAATCACCTGAACCCAGGAGGTGGAGGTTGTAGTGAGCTGGGGTCACGCCACTGCACTCCAGCCTGGGAAACAGAGCAAGACCATGTCTAAAAAAAAAAAAAAAGGGGGAAAGAAAAGAAAGAAAAAAAGAGTGCTACTCATTAACAGGAAAGTTGGCTGGGCGCGATGGCTCACGCCTGTAATCCCAGCACTTTGGGAGGCCGAGGCGGGTGGATCACGAGGTCAGGAGATCGAGACCATCCTGGCTAGCACGGTGAAACCCCGTCTCTACTAAAAATACAAAAGATTAGCCGGGCGTGGTGGCGGGCGCCTGTAGTCCCAGCTACTCGGGAGGCTGAGGCAGGAGAATGGCGTGAACCCGGGAGGCGGAGCTTGCAGTGAGCCGAGATCGCGCCACTGCACTCCAGCCTGGGCGACAGAGCGAGACTCCGTCTCAAAAAAGAAAGTCAGTGAAGGGACCTGTTTGGGAAAACAAAGCCCAGGCTCGAAGGAAGCTTGTGCTTCCCTCTGTGAGCAAGTTAAGTCTTAGAAACATCTCCCCGAGCCTCCTTCTCCCACGCGGGTCGTCTGTCCTGCGGCAGCCCCACTGGTTCCTCCCATCAACCAAGGCAGAGAGTGGAAAAGCTCCTCACACTCTTCTGCTTCACACACAGTGAACAAATCCAAACCTCTCTGCCCACATCCCTCCTCACCCGGCTCCACCCGTGTCCGCTGGTCCATCCCCACAGTCTAAGCTCAGCTGGGGACCGAGGACGCCCTGTCTGTGCACTGCACCAACCTCCCTCCTGGCCCCCTACTGGCTCCCATCCCTACTCCAGTCCATCCCTCTCATCACTTCCGAGGCCTCTTCTGACCATCTTACCTGGCTGTGACCCTCCACTGCTCAAATTCCCCCAACGGGGCTCCATCTTCCAAAAATAAGATGCACGTTCCTGTACTTCATGTTCAAGCCTGTTGATGACCAAACCTGATACACTTTCCAGCTTCACAGGCTATGGCTCCCCCTCTGCCACACCAAACTCATCACAGTTACCCACCCCCTGCCACACACACACAACCTCAGTTATTAAACACGTGTAAGTCTTCTGACGGCCGCTCCCTGAGCCAATCCGGATGTAGCTGACACCTCTGCAGAGCTGGTAGACTATGACAAAGAGAAGCCCTCCTGCCTCGTTCCACTCCACTGTAAACGTATGTGTGTCATAGGTCATGAGGAGTCCACATAAACCACTTAGAATCCTTATCAGCACATTGCCTAGTGGCTGGGCTCACGCTGGAGTGTGGTTATGGTTAACCATTAGTGAAACCCTCCCATATTGCATTCTGTGCAGTGATGGGCTTGTAAAAACAGACATCTGTTTCCACTGTGCTTTCTAAAGATTCCCCGGTTTTTTTTTTTTTTTTTTTGAGATGGAGTCTCACTCTGTCACCTAGGCTGGAGTGCTGTGGCGCAATCTCGGCTCACTGCAACCTCCACCTCCCGGGTTCAAGTGATTCTCCTGCCTCAGCCTCCCGAGTAGCTGGGATTACAGGCGTCCACCACCACACCTGGCTGATTTTTTGTGTCTTTAGTAGAGACGGGGTTTCACCATGTTGGCCAGGCTGGTCTCGAACTCCTGACCTCATAATCCACCCACCTCCGCCTCCCAAAGTGCTGGGATTACAGGTGCAAACCACCGTGCCGGGCCGGATTTTCCATTTTCTTAAACATAGCATCCAATAAATCTTCACGGTGCACAAGTCCCCTGAATGACAAGGTCCCAGCTTCCTTTGGCTCACTCTCAGGTCTGAGAACAGCCCACACTGTTTCTGGTGGAGGACACTCTGCGTGCCACACTCACTGTTCACGTCTTGGTCTCTCCATCCCCCAGAAGGACCCCTCACTCCCATGACAGGTGTACGCTGCTCACCTGCTATGAGCATGTTTTCCTCCTTTCCTACAACTTGTCGAAACCGGAGCAGAATTACCTCCTATCTAAACATGGGTAATGTGTCATTAACCCAGGCTCTGTGAGTCCAGCAGGAATCCTATCAGCTTCACCCACGACTCCCCTCCTCCTGGCAGCATGCCTGGATGTGGTAACCACTGAATAAACATCGCCTGATCGCAAGGCTCATGAAAGAAAAGATGCATTACAGAGCTCAGGACATGGAAGGGGCTTGCCTCTAGAATTAGAACAGTGACTGGGCTGTGTCCTAAGGCCCTGCCCTCTCTGGCCTCAGCCTCATGTGCTAGAACAAGGGTCACCCCTGGATGAGAGTTGGGTGAGGTGGAAGCAGGCAGAGTATGGGGAAGTCAAATTTTGACTCAAATGTGGTCTGAAAGGCCCCCAGAGCCTGCTGTCCCCTCAGCCCCATCCTTCAGGGGGAGCAGAGCGAGGCCCTGGGGAAGGGGCTGTTCCCCTCCTGCAAGGCCACTGGTGAGAACACATGACCTGTAACACAGAGCCCGGGGCTCCTTATACCAGCACACCCATCTGCCCTCCAGGCTCTGTGGCTCAATGGTCTAATTCATCTGCACTGCTGGGGACCGTGACAGGCAGGGCCACAACCCCCACCCTCATTGCCCATCTCCCTGCTGTGTGTCCAGGGAAGCCTTAGGTGGACACGGGGTGGTCAGTGACCCCGACCTCTTGGGCCAGAAGCACAAGGCAGAAGGCATGGAGTTGAGACCGGTGAGAGCTCTCCCTGCAGGCCCCAGCGGGCCCCAGAGAGTACGCATCCCCTAAATACCAGTCGCCTCATCTCAGGGGCGTCCAGGCAGCCCTCAGCCCTCCCTCTCAGCACAGCCGGGATCGCCGGTGCTCTCTGGAGACAGCCTGACCCCTCAGCATCACTCAGAGGCCGGTTTTGACAGCTCTGCATTGACCAGGACAAGGGGCTCCCAGCCCGCCAGCGCCTAGATGGGCAGCACCTCCTGGACGTCCCCCTGGGCCATGCGAGCCACCCCCCTGGGGGCCAGCACAGATGCTGCGGTGGACACAATGCCTCCTGCCCAAGGTCGGTCCCCCGTCGCCCCCACCCAACATCCTGGTTGCAAGTGAGGGGCCCCTACCCAGACCCCATCCCGTTCTCTGCTCTGGACCCTGGGCTCAGGGTCGAGAGAGAGAATGATACAGGGATGTGGTCCAAGGAGATCACCAAGAAAGGGAGAGCAAGAGGCCCGGAGATTAAACAGACCCACGCAGGCCAGGCACTGTGGCTCACACCTGTCATCCTAGCGCTTTGGGAGGCGAGTGGATTGCTTGAGGCCAAGGGTTTTAGATCAGCCGGGGCAACACATTGAGACTCCATCTCTACAAATTCTTGAGATGGAGTCTCCCTCTGTTGCCCCGCTCGCTGCCTCTGTAGACAGAGCCCTGAAGACCCTTTTCCTTTCCAAGCCCGTAGGCTTCTCCCCAGAACCGCATACCTCAACTCCCACTCTCCCCTCCCTCCAGGCTGCCGTGGAGCTCCGCAATTGTGAGCTACACCCAGGTGAGCCACCACCTCTCAGACCAGAGACAACTGCAGTCTCTTCCTCCCAGGGGAGCTCCCAGGAGCCCAGTGAGTACGCTGCCCCGGCCATCCACTAGCCCAGACCCCACGCTCCAAGGAAGGAGACCACAGTGAGCCCAGATGGTGCAGCAGCTGGCCCCATGGACACAAGACCACCGTCATTTCCCAAGTAGCAACGCTGAGGGAAGGAAGGGCCAACCACCTAGCTTGAGTAAGCCGCAATGGACTTCTCCACGTGGTTTACAGTAACTTAGCTGTGTTCCAGAACTGTCCCTGCCCTGACCTCAAACCCTGAAGGCCTCCAGATAAGGACCCAATCAACTACAGCCTGCAGCCTGAGGGGGTTGCACAATTTCAGGTTTCTCACTTCCTCAGAAACCAAACCCCTTCCCAACACAGATGATCAACAAGGCTGAGAAAAGGGAAGCCTGCCAACCTCTTGACCGTGAGTCCACAGAAGCACTGAACGCGGAGAGGAGGAACAGACTTCCCTCAACGCCCCTTCTCCTACGCTAACCCACTTCCCCTACATGTGAAGACAAAACTGGGAACTTGCCCAACATCAACCGCATCACAAGCTTTGAAACTAGCAAGCAAATTCTGTGAAGTGTTCCCCAACAATCACCAACAGTTCACCTTCCCCAGCAACCCGTCAGCCTCTGGTCAGCTCCCGTCCCACCTGTCTCTTGCCTGGCGGGGTCAGGGTCCCAGGGCCAGCAGGCAGGGAAGGCCCCCACCTCCACTCGGCGCCTGCCCTGCCTAGCAATGACCGGCTCCCTCCCACCCCTATATGCAAACACCGGCTTACTTGGAATTTCCTTCTGGTTTTGACACAGTTTTTCCAAAAATACCACTCGTCTCTCCCCTGATGACAGAAGTTTCTGGTAAAGATGTGTGTTCACTACTGTAGAATAGTACTGAGAGGCCAGGGACCACTAGCTGGTAGGCACTCCCAAGTGAGTGAGCCTCCCAGGGAAGGCTGCATGTTTAGAGCAGGGGAAAGAGTCAAGGATGAGAGACCCCCACACACCAATTGTAAAGCGCTGATCCTGTTTATTTGGCAGGAAAACGAGACAATCCAGCAGCCCAGGAGGGACAGGTGGACTTAATCCTCCTCCTCGTCGTCTCCAGCCCCAGCCCCACCCTGGCCCTTCTTGGCATTCTTCCTCTTCACGCGGCCCGGGCGGCCACCCCCGTAGGGAGAGCGCAGAGAGAAGTCGATGTGCTTCTGGGAATCCAGGCGGACAATGAAGGACGGGATGTTCACCACCTGCTTGCGGACCCTGGAAGAAGCGACAAGGTGAGGTGGACTGGAGGAGAAACGGACGCTAACCCCAGCTACCGCACCACTCTTTCCTCTCCACCCACCCCGTGAGGCCGCCACGGCTGCAGACACCAAGGCGCTGCAGGAAGGGTGCACCTGATCCTACGTGCGCCCTCCGGGGTTTTAGGGTATCACCTTAATCCCCAAAAATGCTTCAGATGACTTTCTCAACCCCATTTTATAGGAGAAATCTGAAAGTATCCCACCTAAGACCACAAAGCAAATGAGATGGCCATGTGAGAGCCCCCAAGTTCCGAGTCTGAAATATCGTGAACCCCACACCTGACACTGAGCTGTATTACCACGTGCAGCAGCAATGCCCACAATAACACAGCAACCCGAGGCTACGTCTCCGACGAAAGCATTGACACACAAGGCTCTGCCTACGGCTCACAGGGTTAGTGAAGGGCTGGGGCGAAGATTCTAAACGCAAACATCTTGCCCTCTTTCTGTACAGCTCCTCCCCCTCAATGGTGCCACATTACAGAAAGGGCACACTGAGTACCCAGAACGCAGTCATGGATCGGGGTCTGGAATCAACTTCACAAGCGAGCCAGGAGACAGCTGAACCCACCACCCAAGCGAGGTGAGGCTGGTTCTCTCCCTCCACTGGGGACACCAAGAGCTGTTACCTGTCCAGCTGCCCACATGCCTGGCAGAGGCCTTCACAAGGTGTACGGCTAGAGCCGCAGTGACCCTTGCGCTGGGCTATTGGGGCAAGAGGCTGCCCCAGCTCCCTGGTGAGCTGTGTGCAAGGGTGAATCTGTACCCTCTGGGTGAGTTCACACCCATCACCTCCGAGGGCTGCATAGGAGATAGGGACAGCAGGCTTAGTGAGGGCAACCATCAGAGGGGCAGGTGGAGGAAGATTCAGGTGCCCATCCGAGGTGGTACCTGATATGGCGCTGGCGGATCAGCACGCGAGCGTGGTGGATGGACTTGGCCAAGCCCAGCTTGAAGACCTGGGTCTGCAGGCGTCTCTCTAAGAAATCCTCTATCTTCAGGCCCAGGATGTAATCCAGCTTCATCTTGCCCTCATCCAGCACCCCAATGCGGACCAGCCGCCGCAGCAGGGCGTTGCCTGGGAAGAGTGGGAGGAAACACTGATTCCGCCTTCTGACCTCAGGCTTCTTGGGTTCAAATCCTGGCTCCGCCTCTTGGTAGCTCCATGCCGCGGCGGTGAGGCACAAGTAGTACAGCGCCATCACCGTGACCCATGTCACTGTCAAAACCACCCTACGGGCTGGGAGTGGTGGCTCACACCTGTAATCCCAGCACTTCGGGAGTCCGAGACGGATCACTTGAGGTCAGGAGTTTGAGAGACCAGCCCGGCCAACATGGCGAAAGCCCGTCTCCACTAAGATTACGAAAAATTAGCCAGGCCGTTGGCGCACTGCCTGTAATCCCAGCTATTCAGGAGGCTGAGGAAGGAAAACTGCTTGAACCCAGGAGGCGGAGGTTGCAGTGACCTGAGATGGGGCCACTGCACTCCAGCCTGGGCGACAGAGTGAGGCCCTGTCACAAAACAAAACAATACAAAAAACCAAACTACCCTATGGTTGTCAGGTCATCATTCATAGTAAACTGCAGATGACAGGAGGGCAAAATACACCTGCCTCCTCATCTGAGAGCATACATCCCTCGCTCCACATTCTTAGCAAGAGTAAAGGAAATCACCTCCTTACAAGGACTCAGTCTGCAAAAGACCAAATGCAGCTGCTATTAAGCTACTACCACCGTAACAAAGCACAGTGCTGAAGAGTTCATATCCTCAGCCCAGAAAGCTCTTCTGATTAAGCAGATGTGAGATTGAATCACATTCCGTGCCATAAATAGCAGTATCTACATCTTTTAAGGAGAGAAAAGTAATTTCTAACACTAGAATTTTTCCAGCTAAGTACATGTCATTCATTTTACTATTCTGTACAAAATTTTCCACCAAAAATAGATCTAGTATGTATATAACCTAACAATGCACTGCATAAAATATCCAACAGATGCCCTACTACACCTTTCTTCCAACCCCAGGCTCAGGACGGCTTGCTCCTTACCCTGTCCAAAGCCATGGCTTCTAGCTAATACTCTGGACTGCCCTTGCCCACAGCCCCAGGGCCCTGGGGGCAAACGCCATCCCCTAGGCTCCCGCTCACTGCTATAATCCCACACGCCTTCAGCAAATCAACTGCCCCTTGACTGGGGTAAACACCTCAACCTTTTTTCCTTATGTGCACTTTTATAAAAAGTGGCTCTTACTAGTTACAGCAAACCATTCAAGCAAGCTTTCATAAATAGATCTACATGCATCAGGCACTTCTGATATTCCTGGCACTGTTACCCTCCAAGCAAAGTTTGAAAGAAAGCTAGCTCACTTTGTGAGGACCCAAAGTTTTCCCAGTAGGGAGCAGTTACAGGTAGGGAGAATCAAAATGGAAACACCAGCTGTGTGCATTTCCAGCATCCTATGTCATACTATGGCTTCAATTTTTGTTCTTTTTTAACTCAACATCAGAGGATATTTAAACACCTGAATATCAAAATACAAAAACATGTCCAAAAGGCAATGAAAATGAGTTTGGGATCATTTACCTCTTTGGACACTTCACGCCTTTTTGTCTTTACATTAGAAAATGGAAACTTAAGCCACGCACAGTCCCTTATGCCTGGCCTATAAACCCAATATTTTGGGAGGCTGAGGCAGGAGGATCAGTTGAGTCCAGAAGTTTGAAACTAGCCTCGGCAACACAGTGAGACCGCATTTGTACCAAAACAAACAAAAAAGTAAAACTAAATTAGCTGGGCATGGTGGTACATGGTGGATTGTGGTCCCAGCTACTAGAGCTGAGGAGGATCACTTAAGCACAGGAGGTCCAGGCTGCAGTGAGCCACGACCATGCCACTGTGCTCCAGCCCGGGAGACAAAGTGAGATCGTCACCATTAGGCAAAACAAAGGCATGATTTTAAAAAAATGTTTCACATTTATTATCATTTTTGAGACAGAGTTTCGCTCTCGTTGCCCAGGCTGGAGTGCAATGGCGTGATCTCGGCTCACTGCAAACTCCGCCTCCTGGGATTCTCCTGCCTCAGCCTGGGATTACAGGCATGCGCCACCACGCCCCGCTAATTTTGTATTTTTTCAGTAGAGACTAAGGGGTTTCTCCACTTTGGTCAGGCTAGTCTCAAACTCCCGACCTCGGGTGATCCGCCTGCCTCTGCCTCCCAAAGTGCTGGGATTACAGGCATGAGCCACTGCACTCAGGCCCACATTTATTGAACCATCTATCTCCTGAAAAAGAACAGGAGAGTCAGCCACAGGCAAAACCTTTAAGTATGAAGACAATAGTTTTCAACAGCACAATAAACCTTACACCTTCAACAAAAGCATGTCCTACTGCTGAGGCTCCACTGGGCCAATGCACCAAGAGAATTTAAAATGCTTTAAAAATGCAAACCAGGGAGGACCTCAGTGGGAAACAGGTCCTTGTCATCATACAAGGCAGTTAGGTATTACAATGCCTTCATTTCTGATCTGAAAAATGGACATGACTCCTACATTTCTTCACAGTTGTGCTGGGGGGTGGGGGGGGAGTTCGTGTTGTTTTGTGTCTCGCTGTCACCCAGTGCAGTGCCGCGGATCTCGGCTCACTGCAGTCTCTGTCTCCCAGGTTCAATCAATTCTCCTGCCTCAGCCTCCCGAGTAGCTGGGATTATAGGCACACCACCATGCTCGGCTAATTTTTGTATTTTTCGTAGAGATGGAATTTCACCACGTTGGCCAGGCTGGTCTCTGACTTGAGGTCTCCTGACCTCAAGTGATCCGACCACCTCGGTCTCCCAAAGTGCTGGGATTACAGGCATGAGCCACCACGCCTGGCCTCTATCTGTTGATTATTAACTGCCAGCCAAATGTTGGCGGCTGTTCAGTCTTAACAGACGAGACTCAGAATCTCGCTAGTCACACATCTTAGTGGGAAAGGCTGGATCTGAATCAAGGCAGGATTACACCAAAGAGCAAACATCCAAGCTCCTCCTTCCTGTCCCTGACTAGGCTAGATGGCTTCATTTACTAGAAAGTGTACTCACCTGAACAACTGTGTACCCCTTGGGAATTTTCACTTCTGCCTTGGAAAACCACAAATAACCCTCAGACACCTGCACCGCTTTCTCACATGACTGTAAGTTTCATTGCAATTAGGATCTATGTCCAGAAAGTCCTCCCTAAAACCAGAACCAGCTATAGCCCACTCCCCACAGAACCCTGGGATGAATTCCCACCCAGCATCAGTATCTATGGGGGAGGGATCTCCAGCACTTTCATGAGATTATCAACGGGGTCTACAAATTGACGAAAAGAATGAAAGGGTCAGGTGCGGTGGCTTACACCTGTAACCCCAGCACTTTGGAAAGCTGAGGTGGATGGATCACTTGAGGTTAGGAGTTGGAAACCATCCTGGTCAACACTGCAAGATCCTGTGCCTATTTAAAGAAAAAGCTTCTAACATCTGCAAGCCTGGGACAAACTGTGATAATCTGTAGCTAAACATGCGCCAGGACTTTCTCAACGCCTAACATGGATGACCACTCTCATGCCTAACAGTCAGGGCTCAGGTGTAGAGACTGCTTTTCACCATAAATCATGACTACCCAAACTCAGGCAAAAGCAGCGTCTCAGGATATACAAATGCCAATCTTGGTCATGCCAATCTGCTGTAGAAAGCACTCCAATAACACCGCATCTCAGAGTAGATTTTAAAACAAGATGGTTAAGATGGTACATTTTCAATTTAATGTGTATTTCACCACAATTAGTAAAGTAAGCCTAAGTCTATGTGATCTGCATGCCCTCCTAAAGTCATCACCTGAAATGCTGTTCCCTGAGACATTTTACAGGTTCTCTCCTGTTCAGGCCTTTGCTAAATACCACCTAAATGTCCTTGACCAGCTTAAAAAAACAAGCACCAGCCTGGACAACATGGTGAAAACCCATCTCCACTAATAATAGAAAATTAGCCAGGCTTGGTGGCCCATGCCTGTGATTCCAGCTACTTAGGAGGCTAAGACAGGAGAATCGCTTGAACTCTGGAGGCGGAGTTTGCAGTGAGCCAAGATTGCGACAACTACACTCCAGCATGGGCAATGGAGCGAGACTCCGTCTCAAAAGTAAAATTAGCCAGGTGTGGTGGCGTGCGCCTGTCTGTAGTCCCAGCTACTTGGGAGGCTAAGATAGGAGAATTGTTTGAACCCAGGAGGCGGGGGTTGCAGTAAGCCGAAATGGCGCCACGGCACTCCAGCCTGGGCAACAGAGCAAGACTCCGTCTCAAAAGACTAAATAAAACGAGAAAACTTAATTAAAAAAACAATAAACCAAGCAAATGTGCAAACCCTGTTATCACCATCACTTAGCCCAGAAATTCCACTTCATAGTCTACTCTCATCCACTAGCAAACAGGCCACATAAACAGAATATAAAGATATAGACGGGTGCCCAGGTGTGCCAGGCCTATCTTTAGCTCTGGTCATTACTAAACTGAAGGTCCAATAACTGGGCAAAAAAGCCACACACCTAAGAAACAGGGCAAAGACTGATCCAGATACACTTTTCCTACTTCACAAGTGCCACTAAAAGTTAGAAGGCTGGTTCCATTTATCCAATGACACAACTCTCATCACTGGAACAGAGGCAACAGAAGGGAGAATGAACCTCACAAGCCCTGCACCCCATCCCTCTGCTGTGGACTCCCATACGCACCTTCGAACAGACGCCGTGGGTCCTTCTCATCAAGCGTCAGCAGTTCCCGGGCGGCCTTGCGGATCTTGGCCAGGGTAAATTTGACCCTCCAGACCTCACGTTTGTTCCGGAGCCCATACTCGCCTGGTGGGGAGAAGGGGGTGGACAAGTGTAGTCCCACGTACTGGCACAACAACTAGACTGGCAGCTTTGGAATCACAAAACCTTCCTAAACCACGAATAGTACCAAATTTAGGGGACGGACTAGATAGAGTACATGGGCACCTTCATCCACGTGCTAACCGCCTCCCGGAAGCCGAACCACTTCCCGGAAGCCTTGGCCACTCACCGATCAGCTTCAGCTCTTGGTCGAGACGAGATTTCTCGAAGGGTCTCCGCGGGGTCACATAAGTTTTGCGACAAACCCAGCTCCGGGCCACTGGCATGTTGGCTCCGCTTCCCCGTCTGCGCCTGCGCGGGAGAGAAGTGTGAGCGTAAGGGCTCCAAACGGCGCCTGCGCAGTCCCACAACTACGCCAAAACCTCGCGGAGCCCAGATCCGATCTCGCGAGAATAACCTCCAACGCTCTCATAGTCAGTATCTGCCCCCACAACCGTGCTGCACTCCCGTTCAACCACCCTGCTCTGTTTCCTAACGTCTTTAGCTTACTCATGGAAACTCGGAAGGCCCGGGCCACCATCCAACCCAAACCCTAGAGAAAAAGCACACCGCCGCACCTCACCTAAGCAAACCACCCGGTCACTGAGAAAGAGGCGCGCAAGCGCCACGGCTGCGCTCTTATAGTAACGCCGGCGTCTCGTGACGTTTTCACGCACCACGCACGTCAGAGCCAATCAGAAGAGGCGTTGGCTGGCTGAGAAGCAGTGGAGACGTGAGGCTGGGCTAGAGCGGCGTGCTAACCTGGGAGGACTAGGTTTTTTCCGGCCAGGGAGTGGAAACCTGAGAAGTAGGGAGAACCTTCCTTCTCCGCCCCTGGACGGTGGTTTTTCTTTTTCTTTCTGAGACAGGGTCTCGCTCCGTCGCCCAGGCTGGAGTGCAGTGGCGTGATTTCGGCTCACTGAGGCCCCGACCAACCTCTCGGGCTCGAGCGATCCTCCCACCTCCTCCCCAGTAGCTGGGATTACAGGCACACGCCACGACGCCCGGGTAGCATTTTTTTTTTTTTAACAGTCGGCGTCTTGCCATGTTGCCCAGGCTGGTCTTGAACTCCCGGCCTCGAGAGAGCCTCCCGCCGTGGCCCCCCCAAAGTGCTGGGATTACAGGCGTGAGCCACCGCGCCCAGCCGAGATTATTTCTGTCACTAACAATAATGTGGCATTCTGGAACGCTATGTGCCACATACTGTTCTAAGAATTTTAAATGTATTTACTCAATCTTCAATACATACTTACAGAGCACTCTCAGAGAAGTTGCCCCCCCACCCATGGTACTATTATTATCAATAGCCACTTAAGGGGTATTAGTACTATTATCAGTAATTTATTTTATTTTTGAGACGGAGTTTTTCGCTCTCGTCACCCAGGCTGGAGTGCAGTGGTGCGATCTCGGCTCACTGCAACCTCCGCTTCCCGGGTTCAATCGATTCTCGTGCCTCAGCCTCCCGAGAAGCTGGGACTACAGGCGCCCACCACCATGCCCGGCTAATTTTTAAATTTTTAGTAGAGACGGGGTTTTGAACTCCTGGTCTCCAACGCCTGACCTCAAGTGATCCACCCGCCTCAGCCTCCCAAAGTGCTAAGATTACAGGTGTGAGCCACCGCGCCTGACCTAGAGTTCTCTTTTTATATATAGTCTGGTTATTGTCTGTCTGTACACCCATCTCTCCACTCCGAATGCGATGGTCTGTCTCCACAGCTCGTGTTCTTCAGTTGTCTTCCCTACGCTGCTGCCTCGGCAGTCACTATCTCCTCAGGAAGCAGTCCCACCCGCCCCTTTCTCTTCCACGGCATCCACACCATCCGGATGCCTGGATTCAAATGCCACGTCACCACTTGCCAGCTGCAGTGCCTTCGACAAGTTTCTCAATCACTCTGTGCCTCAGCGTCCTCCTCTGTAAAACGGCGAATGATGGTAGCGCCTACCTCATAAGCTTGTGAGGATTAAGTGAGAGTCTATCCAGTGTTGAGGAGAGTGGCATAAATAAAGCGCCTAGTGGTAGCTACCATCGTCATTATTGTCATCTGCATTGTACTTCCATATCTTACAAACTACCTTGTTCAGTTTTATGGGTTTTTTGTTTGTTTGTTTTGTTGTTTTGAGACGGGGTTTTGCCATATTGCCCAGGCTGGTCTTGAACTCCTGGGCTCAAGTGATCCACTCGCCTCAGCCTCCCCAAGTGCTGGGATTACAGGTGTAAGCCACCATGCCTGGCCAAATTTTATGCATTTTTGTATCTTGAACACGCGTATATTATTCATCTGGAAGGGGGAAACGTGGAAGGAAAAAACTTCCATAAGTTTTCACTCCCTTCAGGATGAAGTCCAAGCTCCACAAATTCCGGGTGCCTCGTGATTACAGAGATGGTTTTATAATGGTGGTTGAACCTGTAGGTTCTCAAGTCTTAAAAAAGATCTGCGTTTGAACCTCAGCAGTCACTGACGAGCTCTTGATCTTAGGCAAATTAGCCTCTTCAAGAGTGCTAAATGGGAGAAAGTAACAGGACTTTCCTCATAGGGTTTGATGATTTAGAGTAAAAAAAAAAAAAAAAGAAAAGAAAACCAGCACAGAGTCTTGTGTACTGAAGGTGCTTAATATCTTAACACAGCTGACTCTGTACAGTCTGGGGGCGAGGGGCACTGACCCCCAGCTCAGCCGAAAACCTCCATATAGGCTGGGCGCGGTGCCTCACGCCTGTAATCCCAGCACTATGTGGAAGGCCAAGGCCGGCGGATCAACTGAGGTCAGGAGTTCGAGACCAGCCTGGCCAACATGACAAAACCTGGTCTCTACTAAAAATACAAAAATTAGGCAGGCGTGGTGGCAGGTGCCTGTAATCCCAGCTACTTAGGAGGTTGAGGCAAGAGCATCGCTTGAACCCAGGACGTGGAGATTGCAGTGAGCCGAGATCGCACCACTGCACTCCATCCTGGGCGACAGAGCAAGACTGCCTCAAAAAAAAAAAAAAAAAAATCAAGAAAGAAAATCTGCATATAACTTTTGACTTCCCCAAAACTTAACTACTAGGCCAGGCACCGTGGCTCACACCTGTAACCCCAGGTGGGATTTGGGAAGCTGAGGTGGGCAGAGCACTTGAGCCCAGGAGTTCAAGACCAGCCTGGGCAACACGGCAAAACCCAGACTCTACAGAAAACAGAAAAATTAACTGGGTGTGGTGGTGTGTGCCCGTAGTTCCAGCTACTTGGGAGGCTGTGGTGGGAGGACTGCTTGAGTCAAGGAGGTTGAGGCAGCAGCGAACTAAGATCATGCCCCTGCACCCCAGCCCAGCTGGCAGAGCAAGACACTGTCTCAGGATTTAAAAAAAACATTACTCGTAGTTGACTGGAAGCCTTACCAATAACATAGTCAATTAACACATATTTTATACGCTATATGTATTATATTCTGTATTCCTATGATGAATTAAGCTAGAGAAAAGAAAATATTGGCCGGGCGTGATGGCTCATGCCTGTTACCCCAGCACTTTGGGAGGCTAAGGCGGGCGGATCACCAGGTCAGGAGATCGAGACCATCCTGGCTAACACGGTGAAACCCCATCTCTACTAAAAATACAAAAAATTTGCCGGGCGTGGTGGCAGGCACCTGTAGTCCCAGCTACCGGGGAGGCTGAGGCAGGAGAATGGCGTGAACCCGGGAGGCGGAGCTTGCAGTGAGCTAAGATCGCGCCACTGCACTCCAGCTTGGGTGACAGAGCGAGACTTCGTCTCAAAAAAAAAAAAAAAAGAAAATATTAAGAAAATTCTAAAAAAGAGAAAATATATTTACTATTCATTAAGTGGAAGTGGATCATCATAAAGGTCTTCATCCTTGTCTTCATTCTGAGTAGGCAGAGGTGCAGAAAGAAGAGGAGGGTTTGGTCTTGCTGTCTCAGGGTGCCAGAGGTGGAGGAGGTAAAAGGCAAAGCAGGAGAGGCAGGCATGCTCTGTGTAACCTTTACTTTTTTCAATCTGCATAAAAGTGGACCCGAGCAGTTCAGACCCATGTTGCTCAAGGGTCAACTGATGAGATCTGGCCTCACCCTGATCCTCTTCAGAAGCATGGTCCAGTCATATGGCACCAGGCCCTCTTCCACAAACCCCTCATGCTTCCTCCTCTCTCTCTCTCACTCAGGCTGGAGCCCTCTAGCCCTTCCTCTCTGAAAGGAGCACGGGTAATATAAGAGGAACCCTTGGTTTCCATCATGGGTTGCCAAGGACCAGCTGGGCATGCTTGGGGAGCTGAATTCCTTTCCTTTTGTACAAGTGTAATAAAATCTAATTATGCCCCATCCATAGGACGCAAAACCATGTAGCTGTTGGCAAAAATGAGACAAGCCTGGGCATATCCAATAAGCAAGATGCAGAAGTGTGCATAGTATGCTACAATTTTCATTAATAAAAATGACCTTAACGTATGTATATTTATTTAAAATATGCTTAGAAAGTCATGTAGGAGAAATTATAATTTCCAAATTGTCTCAGCCCTGATTTAAAAATTATAGTTTAAGCCACTCATTTATTTAGCAACAATGTATTGACTGCTGTGTGCCAGGAACTGTTCTTGGACCTGGGGATACTGCATGAACAAGGGTAAATAAAACAAAAACCAAAACCAAAACCTTGTCCTTAACTAGAAACAAATGCCAATCACCTGATGAATGGATAAATAAAATGGGGTTATGTCCATACAATGGAATATCCAGCAGTAAAGAGGAACAAAGCTGGCCGGGCACGGTGGCTCATGTCTATAATCCTAGCACTTTGGGAGGCTGAGGTGGGCGGATTGCCTGAGCTCAGGAGTTCGAGCCTGGGCAATTATGGTGAAACCCTGTCTCTACTAAAATACAAAAAATTAGCCTGACGTGGTGGCAGGCGCCTGTAATCCCAGGTACTTGGGAGGCTGAGGTGGGAGAATCGCTTGAACCCACTTGAACCCAGGAGGCAGAGGCTGCAGTGGGCCGAGATTGTGCCACTGCACTCCAGCCTGGGCAACAGAGCAAGACTCTGTCTCAAAAATAAAAAAAATAAATAATAATAATAATAATAAGCAAGGAAGAGAATGCACATGGCCAGTTCATGAGGAAGCTGCAAAGTAGGACCTTTGAGTTTTACTCTGAGATGGAAAACTCCAGGAAAGTTTTAGACAGAGCTGTGACATGGTCTGACTTATCTTTTAATATGATGATTCTGGCCGGGCGCGGTGGCTCACGCCTGTAACCCCAGCACTTTGGGAGGCCGAGGCGGGTGGATCACAAGGTCAGGAGATCGAGACCATCCTGGCTAACATGGTGAAACCCCGTCTCTACTAAAAATACAAAAAATTAGCCAGGTGAGGTGGCGGGCGCCTGTAGTCCCGGCTACTAGGGAGGCTGAGGCAGGAGAATGGCGTGAATCCGGGAGGCGGAGCTTGCAGTGAGCAGAGATCGCGCCACTGCACTCCAGCCTGGGCGACAGCGAGACTCCGCCTCAAAAAAAAAAAAAAAAAAAAAAACAAAAAAAAAAACGATGATTCTGGCTGCTCTGTTGAAAACAGACAACAGAGGGGCAAGAATGGAAGGCAGGGGATGAGTTAGGAAGCTATCAATATCAAATGAGCCATGGTTTGGTTTTTCTAAGATACTGGCAGTGAAGGTGGAGGGTGGGGCCTAACTGTGGATCCACAGTGCTTTGAACATGGCACCTATAGAATTTGTTGACTGACAACATGGGGGGACACCAGTCACAAAAGTTTTTTTTTGTTTGTTTGTTTTAAATAGAGATGAGATGAGGTCTCACTATGTTCAGCCAAGGCTGGTCTCAAACTCCTGAGCTCAGCGGCTCAACTGATCTTCCCACCTTGGCCTCCCAAAGTGCTAGGATTACAGGTCTGAGCCACCACATCTGGCCACAGGAGTTTTAAATGAGGAACTTTTCAGAGGAGAGACTCATGACAGAGGGAATGAGACTTCTAAGTACTTTGTTGTAGAGAGGAGAAAGGGTGGAGAATAGACTTACAAAGCCAATTATGAAGCAGGCACAAAGAGAGTATTGGCCAGACAGGGGTTAGCGTCATTTTTTTTCTTTTCTTTTTATTTTTTTGAGATGGAGTTTAGCTCTTGTTGCCCAGGCTGGAGTGTAGTAGTGCGATCTTGGCTCACTGCAACCTCTGCCTCCTGGATTCAAGTGATTCTCCTGCCTTAGGCTCCTGAGTAGCTAGGAGTACAGGCGCATGCCACCACGCCCGGCTAATTTTTTTTTTTGTATTTTTAGTAGAGATGGGGTTTCACCATATTGGCCAGGCTGATCTCAAACTCATCTGCCCACCTCAGCCTCCCAAAGTGCTGGGATTACAGGTGTGAGCCACCACGCCTGGCCCAGTGTCATATTTTAAATTAATCTAAACTTACAGGAAATTGAGATTCTATGAAGTCTGTTTACTGGGAATGGCAAGAAAGAGGGGAGATGGGAGTCTCTCTAAACCTATTCTGGTTCCAGAGGCTGCTCAATTCACACAAAAAAGAGAAAGAATGAAACATGGGGGGAAGAAATGGAAGAACTAGAGGTGGAGACTTTCAGCCCCAGAATTTTACCATGTGGAAGTTTTTGTTTGTTTTTGTTTTTTTGAGACAGTGTCTAGCTCTGTCGCCCAGACTGGAGTGCAGTGGCGTGACCTTGGCTCACTGCAACCTCCACCTCCCAGATTCAAGTGATTCTCCTGCCTCAGCCTCCGGAGTAGCTAGGATTACAGGCGCCCGCCACCACGCCCGGCTAATTTTTGTATTTTTCATAGAGGCGGGCCATGTTGGCCAGGATGCTCTGGAACTCCTGACCTCATGATCCGCCCGCCTTGGTCTCCCAAAGTGCTGGGATTACAAGCATAAGCCACCACGCCCAGACTCACCATGTGAATGTATTACACTGACAAAATAAACGTGACAAAATAAAACTGCACATTGATAAGATAAAGGTGTAATTATTGGAATAGTGGTAGTGTTCTAGTACTTTCTTAAGCAAAAACATGGGTAAATGATTTCATAAGTGCAAATTTTTTACAAATACATGTGTTTTAGCTTTTATAAAAATTGCAGAATATAACACATCCAAAAAAGAGTCTAAAATATAAATATACAGTATCAAAAAAATTCTCCACCACTACCCAGGCCATGAAAAAGCAGAACGCCTTCCAGAGTCCTTCCTTTCTCCCCAGGCTCTGAACTCCTAAAATTACAATACTCATTTCCTTTCATAATATATATATATATACACACACATATATATACATACATGTGTGTATATTTACATATATACACACACACATATATATATTTTTTGAGACAGGTTCTTGCTCTGTCTCCCAGGCTGGAGGGCAGTGGTGCAATCACAGCTCACAGCAGCCTCAACTTCCCAGGCTCAAGGGATCCCTGGCTAATTTTTTTTTAAATTATTTTTTGTAGAGACTGGGTATTACAATGTTGCCAGAGCTGGTCTCAAACTCCTGGGCTCAAGCGATCCCCCTGCCTTGGCCTCCAAAAGTTCTGTGGGATTACAGGTGTGGGTCATCGTGCCCAGCCTATATTTTTATTTATAACGTTTGTATGCATCTGGGAAATTTCATAGAAATCTTTTCAAGAGGAAGTTTAGTGAGGTAGAAAGAGTGCAGATTTAGGAGTCAGAAAAACCAATTTTGAAAGGCCAGGCCTGCTATTTACTAAGTGTGTGACTTTGGGCAAGTCAGTCCCCCCCCTCCAGGCCTTTTTCTCACCTGTACATGCAGATGAGACCATCCACGGGTTCCAGGACTGTCGCAAACATTCAAATCATGAACATTTATATACCAAGTTTATTGAGACCTCCTGAGACTTAAACCCTGTAGAAAACAGATGAATCAAACCCAGGCCCCATTCTCGGGAAGCTCACAGTGTGAAAATAGGTAACTACAAAAACACAGCCAATAAGTGCTTTGAAACAAGGAAGAACATAAAAAAGATGTAGTGTTCGAAAACCTGGAATCAAAAACTAACCGCGGAGAAAGGTAGGAGGATGTTCTAGACTCCCAGAGAAGAGCTGGGGAACATCCAGAAAGGCTCTTGCTGCCGACACAGCCACATCCCCTAGGTCTCTGGAGTTCACTGCAGGCTGGCCCATTGCAGGGAGGTGTAGACCACCTTACCATCAGGCTGCGGAGAACAGAGGAGCAGGGTCTTTCTGACGCTGGTTCCAAGGCGCCCAGCAGCAACCAGGTCTTGGAGTGGGATGGTGTCCTCGGGGGCCCAGCACTGAGCGATATAATGGGCGTGGAAGCGGAGGGGGTCACCTGGGGGAAGGAGAGAGGCACTGAAGCAGTGACCAATGGCAGACGGCTGGACGCCACGGGAACGACCACTGGGAGGAGATCTGAGATCATTTCAGCCATCACTATAGATACTCTAAAACAGATGCTCTTGGACACAACTATTCCACTTCTAGGCTTTTTTTTTTTTTTTTTTTTGAGACAAAGTCTCGCTCTTGTCCCCCAGGCTGGAGTGCAATGGCACGATCTTGGCTCACTACAACCTCTGCCCCCTGGGTTCACATGATTCTCCTGCTTCAGCCTCCCGAGTAGCTGGAAATACAGGCACCCACCACCACGCCCAGTTAGTTTTAGTATTTTTAGTAGAGATGGGGTTTCACCATGTTGGCCAGACTGGTATCAAACTCCTGACCTCAGGTGATCCACCTGTCTTGGCCTCCCAAAGTGTTGGGATTACAGGCGTGAGCCATTGCGCCCAGCCTGATGTCTAACTACTTCTAAGTGAATCTTCTGGATCACAGTAATCATTTAATAAAAGTCGTTAAACTGCTTGCCCAATGAGTTCAGGAGCTCCCAAATGTTTCCTGTCTGTCTATGAATTTCAGAGGCTAAGAGAAAGTGAGACAAAAAAGAAAAATGCAGCTGGGCCTATAATTCCAGCACTTTGGGGGGCCGAGGTGGAAGGATTGCTTGAGCCCAGGAATAGGGACCAGCCTAAGCAACAAGAGACCCCACCTCTATTAAGACAAAAAAAAAAAAAAGAAAAACGCAGAATACATTGGGATCGTATGGAAAGGCACAGCAACCAGAGGCCCCAACCCATACTCACCAGGATAGACCAGGAAGTCACCTCCGAACTTGCCAGCCGCACTGAGGAAGAAGCCTCGCTCCCACAGGTCTCTGTAGATACTGTAGCGCAGCTCGTGGGCAGGGCGGCCGGCGTGGGGCCAGTCTTTAGACTGGACACGCCAGTCCAGGGGCCTGGCCTTGACCGGTCGAGGCCTGGCAGTGGCCAGCTGGACAAGGAGAGCAGATCTGGGCAAGGGGGCTACCCCATTTGAGGGTCCTGCTTGGGAAGACGAGGGGCCTGGTGGGGAGTACAGAGAAGAGTTTGGTAAATTCAAGGGGTAAAGTCTTCTCACCCTCAGGGAGACCCAGGCACTGGATTCCCAGCTAAAATTCCTAAAAGATCTCTCCTCTCCTTCCCGTGGTCCCTGGACTCCACCTCCCATGCTCACCAGCTTCCTCCTGCTCTCCCGAAGCCTGGCCATCACTGGTCTCATCCTCTTTGGCAGCCTGGCTCGAGCCGGCCTCCTGGCTTGAGCTGGCCCCTGAAGCCTGTTCTAGTTTCTGCTTCTTAGCAGCCTGGCCCTCCGTAATCTTCTCCAGGAGCTCCTGACGACGGGTCTCCCGGGCCTCAGCTGCCAAGGCGCTCTGCTCCTGGAAGCTCTCCTCTTGCTGGCGCTTGAAGGATGTCAGGGCCTGAGAAGCACACTTCGCTGGAACCTCCAAGCTTATGGTCCCTTCAGAAGCCAGGAAACTTGACTCCCAGGTCCCGCTCCCACCGAACCCGAGTTCGAGCCCCGCCCCCTTACCAGGCTGTGGTGCCGAGAGTCTGGACGCGGGGCGCTGACCAGAGTCACGGCGCCGATCTCGGCCAAGAGCCGCGCCTCTTCGGGCATCAGCAGCAGCGGGAGGCCCAGGCGCGAGTTCTGGCGGGGCCCGCGGGGCAGGGCGCCTACCGTGCGGCCCCCCACACCCAGGCGCTCCCGGAGGGCCTGCACCGCCTCGGCTCCCCACACCAGGGAGCGGCCGTTCGCCACCTCCACCACCAGCATCCTCCTGCGGGAGCCGGGAGGCAAAGCAGTTACCGAAACAGCTGCGCGCCGCAGACCGCTGCAGCGCACCCAAAGCCTCCGGGGTCTCGGCGAAGCCCCGCCCCTAGGCCTCAGGGGGCGGGGCCTCGCTCAGCCGCCGTTCACCACCTGCTGGGCCCGAGCGCCAGGCCCCGCCCCCGGGCGATCCCACCAGGCCTCGCGGCCGCCGGAGACGAGACGCCGGAGACAAGCCCCCGACCCTCGCCCCTCGCCAAGCCCCCAGGGTCCCGCTCTACCCTTGTGACCCTGCGGTCGGCACCCGCTCTGTGCCCGCACTGCCGTACCTACCATTGCGCCTTGGAGCGTGAAAAACAAACCTCCGCAAGCGCGGCGACACGCCCCCTTACAAAGGTCCATTTTGGCACCACCCTCTTGCAAAGTGGGCGTCCCCCTTCGGGTGTTCCCGTCAGCGGTCAGAAGCTCTGGAGGCTAAGGCACCGCCGAGGCCACACCCTCTTCCGGACGCTCGAGCCTTCGCTCCTCCTCTTTCCGAACGACTGTGATTCGGCTTTCGGACCTCCTCGCTCTCAGACTCCCACAGTACAAAACCCTGCCCCCTCCCGAGCACAGGAAGTTCGGCGTTCGGGCGTCCTCGGCTCCACCGAATCCGCAGCCCCGCCCCCTTCCCGAACGCCAGCAATTTGACGTTCGGGTGTTCTCGGCTCGGCCGAATCCGTAGCCCCGCCTCCTCCCGGACGCAATAGGTTCGGCGTTCGGGCGTCATCGGCTCCCGGCAGCCTCGCGGCCTGTGGCCCCGCCCCCTCCGAGCGCCAGCGCACCCCAGTTGGGGAGTTCCCGCCCTACGACCGAACCCCACAGCCGAAAGCCCCGCCCCCTGGACACCCGCCGTCCACTCTCCGCTCGGGCGGGCTCACCCCAATTGGGAGCGCTCAGTCCGCCTCCTTGCCTCCCTTCAGAATGTCCCACTGTCCACCGATAGAACCAGCGAGTCACCTCATAAACAGTAATTCGCAGTCGAGGTGGAGCCACCCACTGCGCACCGCGCCACGCGCTCCTTGCTCCACCCCCTCATGCCGACACCCTCGTCAACTTCGTCATCCCGCCCCATCAGCGCCGCGGGAAGTCAGGTCCCGCCCCTCGCAGGACCGAAGCCCCGCCCTCCTCCCGCGGGGGCCACCTTGGCTCCGCCCCACTGAGCGCACCTCCCTCTGCCGCTTCCTCTCCTCTACTTGGGAACTTGAGGATCGTCACCCTGGCCCGGTCCCGTAGGCGCACGCCGGCCCTCGGGGTTCCGCCCCTTTGAGGGCAAGTCGCTTTCGCCCCGCCCCCTTGTAAATACTCATGGGTATCTGGCGAACCTGTTGACTCCGCCTATCATCCTAGCGTCACTTGTACCCAACTATCTACGAAGTAAACCGAAGCTTGTGGCCCCACCCACATCCGGCCGAGTCTGTGGCCCCGCCCACATCGGAACAGTGACCCTAAGGACTCGACTACCTCCGAAGAAAGCCGAAACATGTGGCTCCGCCCACACTGGCCTCAGCTCTCCGTTCTCGACTATTGCCGAAGTGAGCCGAAGTTTGTGGCCCCGCTTCCGGAGAACTCAAGCTCCCGATTGTGCCCGAAGGAACCCGAAGGGAGACCCCGCCTCATTCCTCACGGCGAGCTCCAGACCCCGCCTCCTTTCCGGAGCCCGTCTGTTCCCCTTCGGGTCCAAAGCTTTTGGCTCCTCCTTGTTCCGAGCCCGAAGGCCCGCCCCTTCACGTACTCGGAGCTCGGATCCCAGTGTGGACCTGGACTCGAATCCCGTTGCCGACTCGCGCTCTCGGCTTCTGCTCCGGGGCTTCTTCCCTGCCCGCCCGGGGCCCTGACCGTGGCTTCTTCCCCGGCCTGATCTGCGCAGCCCGGCGGGCGCCCAGAAGGAGCAGGCGGCGCGGGGGCGCGCTGGGCGGGGGAGGCGTGGCCGGAGCTGCGGCGGCAAGCGGGCTGGGACTGCTCGGCCGCCTCCTGCCCGGCGAGCAGCTCAGGTGGGCCAGGGTGGCGGCGCCCAGTGGCGAGGCGAGGTTACACGGCGGCAGGGTCTCTGCGGGCTGGCGGGTGCGGGGCGGCCCCGGAGGCGCGTTGGAACTCGGGGCTGGCGCAACCGCCTGTGGCTCTGCCGGGGATGCGCTGGGGTGCGCGGGACGGGTTGGGGCTGGGCCTGGGCCTGGGCCTGGGGAGGGGAGGGTGTTCGATCCCCGGGTTCTCAGTAGGAGAGGGGTGTGGAGCTCCGAAGGAGGTGCAGGTTGGAGACCCGGGCTCCTCTGGGTGGTCTCGAAGAAGGGCTGGGGGGTCCGGATATCTGGTTTCACAAGGGCCGGGGGATGGGGGATCCAAAGAGGGGGTCTGGGTTCCTGGATCCTCGCTGGAAGAGGGGGCTCGGAGGTCTAGATTCCTGGGCTGTCGAAGAGGAAGGGTCCGGGAGGGGTGCCGTTTCTGGGTTTTTAAAAGAGGGGCGTCTTCAAATCTGGGTCCCCAGTATGGGTGCGGGGAGTAGCTTTGATTTCTGCGTTCGCAAAGGAGGGGCTTGGGTGCTGGGAGATCCCCACACTTTCCTGGGTTCTCCAAGGACAGGAGAGCTGGAGGCCTGTGCGCTCAAAGGAGGGGCTGGGGGTGGATTCCTGTCTCCTCCAAGGAGGAAGGGGCTGGAGTCCGGGTTGCTAGGTTCTCAAAGGAGAGGAGCTGAGGCTCATACTCCATCATCCTCAAAAACTGGGGTCTAGAAGGCTGGGTTCCTGGATCCTCGAAGAGGGAGGAGGCAGGGGGCCTGGATTCCTGGGTTCTCACTGTGAATCTCTGCCCCTCCCCCAGACCATGTCGCCTGAAGAATGGACGTATCTAGTGGTTCTTCTTATCTCCATCCCCATCGGCTTCCTCTTTAAGAAAGCCGGTGAGTCAGGCTCCCTCCCCAGTGGAAAATAAAGGGGGGGGACCCTCTGGAAGGTTCCAGGCTTATGCTGTCCCTTCCCCCTGCAGGTCCTGGGCTGAAGAGATGGGGAGCAGCCGCTGTGGGCCTGGGGCTCACCCTGTTCACCTGTGGCCCCCACACTTTGCATTCTCTGGTCACCATCCTCGGGACCTGGGCCCTCATTCAGGCCCAGCCCTGGTGAGAATTTGGTGGAGGGAGGAGAGGGAGAGGAGGGGAGAGGGGGAAGCAACCTGTTTCCTCTTTGAGTCTTTTTCAGCTTCTGCCTCATCTCTAGCTGTCTCTTGTTGATCAGCTCATTTCTCTGTTTCATGTTTGTTTGTTTGTTTGTTTTTCTTTCTTTCTTTCTTTTTGAGATGGAGTTTCGCTCCTGTTGCCCAGGCTGCAGTTCAGTGGCACGATCTTGGCTCACTGCAACCTCCACCTCCCGGGTTCAAGCGATTCTCTTGCCTCAGCCTCCCAAGTAGCTGGGACTACAGGCATGCTCCACCACGCCTGGCTAATCTTGAATTTTTAATAGAGCCGGGGTTTCTCCATGTTGGTCAGGCTGATCTCGAACTCCTGACCTTGTGATCTGCCCACCTCAGCCTTCCAAAGTGCTGGGATTACAGGCGTGAGCCACCGTATCCGGCCTTCATCTGCTTTTCTTTCTCCCCTGCCTTCTGCGTCTGGTCCCTGTGTGTTTGTCCCAGTCCGCTACATCCATGTCATGGAGAGAGGTGGACAGTGTGTCTGCTGGCCTGGCCACCGTTCATATTCATTCATATCCACCTCTCTCTTCTTGAGCCCTGGACCTCGGAAATAAAGAAAAAGTGGAGGATTGCAGGGTCTTCACCTGAAGCTTCTCTTAACCTCATTCTCTGTTGGTGTGTGTTTCTATGTGGCTGAGCCTCTTCTCCCACTGTTTCAATCATACTCATTCGGTCCCTACATCCACCCTCCTGTCCTCTCTGCCCTTCTGTGTTTCTGTCTCTAAACGAATGGGGAGAGCTGGGGGAGGATTGGTGGCTGGACTCGTGGAGTGAATGGCCAAGGCCGAGACTTCTGTGCCCAACACAGTGCGCCTCCTGCTTTTGCCCAGCTCCTGCCACGCCCTGGCTCTGGCCTGGACTTTCTCCTATCTCCTGTTCTTCCGAGCCCTCAGCCTCCTGGGCCTGCCCACTCCCACGCCCTTCACCAATGCCGTCCAGCTGCTGCTGACGCTGAAGGTCAGACTCGGGGCTTGCCACTCCCCTCCAGCCTCCCTGTGGGCCCCTTCACCTCCCACTTTACCTCCCCCTTCAGTGGCTCCCCGGGATTTTACCTCCAACACACCCTGGGGGTGGGACGTCACCTCACTTGCTGCCCTGGGCACAGCATTCCCCATTCACATGCCCTTGGGCAGGTCTTCACCTCCCAGCTCCTCCTGGGGTGAGGAAATAACCCACATAGGTAACAGTAGGTGCCATTGGGTGCTTGCGGTGTGCCAGAGGCCCAGCTGGGTGGTTTACCAACATGCTGTCCTTGAATCTCTGTAGCCAGCTATTTTGCAAAGGAGAAAAACCAGCTCTGGGGAGAAGGTACTTGGTGAAGGGAACAAAACTAGGGCATCCAGGTCTGGCTCCTAATCACCTGGGAAGAGGGGTAAAAACAGAATCCTAGGGCCCACCCCAGACCCACAGAGTCATGGTTTCCTACTGGCGGCTTATCCGTGAACACAGCAGTCATGCTAGGTAGGGAGTGGCCTTCCCAGCATTCAGTGTGCCCTGTGGGAGCTCAGTGGTGGCAGGAGTAGGTTGGATGAGAGAGGGGTTCGTGGAGGAGCATTTCAGGCCGCAGGATGTGTGGAGGGGAGCAGGCTGGGTTCCACAGGCTACACCAGCCACATCCACTTTCTGGGACGAGCAAAAGGGAACAGGCAGCAGGGCTGACACCGTGCTAGGCCTGGCTGGAGACCGTGAGGACATTGGACTTCTTCCCGTGGAGGATTGAGATCTGCTGGAAGAGGGGATTTTTGGTTTGCTGCCAGAAGAGGCAATGTGACCAGTTTTAAATGTTTAAAAATACTCGTTCTGGCTGGGCACAGTAGCTCACGCCTGTAATGCCAGCACTTTGGGAGGCTGAGGCAGGCGGATCACCTGAGGTCGGGAGTTCAAGACCAGCCTGACCAAAATGGAGAAACCCTGTCTCTACTAAAAATACAAAAGATTAGCTGGGCGTGGTGGCACATACCTGTAATCCCAGCTACTCGGGAGGCTGAGGCAGGAGAATTGCTTGAACCCAGGAGGCGGAGGTTGTGGTGAGCTGAGATCGTACCATTGCACTCCAGCCTGGGCAACAAGAGCAAAACTCCATCTCAAAAATAAATAAACAAATAGAAATACTCATTCTAGGCCAGCTGCGGTGGCTCACGCCTGTAATCCCAGCACTTTGGGAGGCTGACGCGGGTAGATCACCTGAGGTTAGGAGTTTGAGACCATCCTGGCCAACATGGTAAAACTCCGTCTCTACTAAAAATACAAAAATGAGCCGGGTGTGGTGGCTCACACCTGTAATCCCAGCTACTCAGGAGGCTGAGGCAGGATAATTGCTTGAACCTGGAAGGTGGAGGTTGCAGTGAGCCAAGATCCCGCCATTGCACTCCAGCCTGGGCCTTCCCGGGCAAGATTCCATCTCAAAAAAAAAAGAAAAGAAAAGAAAGAAAACTCGTTCTGGATGCTGAAGGAGAATTGAAGTGGAACAGGGCAAGATGGGATGGACTCAGATAAAGGGATCCTCCTTTGTCCGAGTCCAGGTGACAAACTGTGGTGGCTTGATACAGGCCGTTGGCTGGCTGTGGGTAGGTCTGAGTTGCAGCAGGAAACGCGCATTTAGGATGACTGAAGGAGTGGCCACCAATTGGGCAGGATGTAGAAGAGCAAGAAGGGATGGTGCCTGAACCCCAGCCCCGCAGAAGGAGCCGTTCCCAACCCTAGGCCCAGGGGAAATGGGTCAGGTTGTGGTACCTGGATGGAAAAAGGGTTGTGTAGGCCTGGTGCAGTGGCTCATACTTGTATAATCCCAGCGCTTTGGGAGGTCATAGTGGGAGGACTGCTGGAGGCCAGGAGTTTAAGACCAGCCTGGGCAATATAGTGAGACCCTGTCTCTACAAAAAATTAATTTTTTAAATGTTATTTATTTTTAAAGATGGAGTCTCGCTCTGTTGCCCAGGCTGGAGTGCAGTGGTGTGATCTCACTGCAACCTCTGCCTCTCGGGTTCGAGCGATTCTCCTGCCTCAGCCTCTCGAGTAGCTGGGACTACAGGCGCCCACCACCACGCCTTGCTAATTTTTATATTTTTAGTAGAGATGGGGTTTCACCATGTTGGCCGGGCTGGTCTCAAACCCCTGACATCAAGTGATCTGCCTGCCTAGGCCAACCAAAGTGCTAGTGTTATAGGTGTGAGCCGTCACACCTGGCCCTAAATTTTTTTTTTTTTTTTTTTTTTGAGACGGAGTTTCACTCCTGTTGCCCAGGCTGGAGTGCAATGGTACGATCTTGGCTTACCGCAACCTCCGCCTCCCAGGTTCAAGCGATTCTCCTGCCTCAGCCTCCTGAGTAGCTGGAATTACAGGCACTCACCACCATGCCCGGCTAATTTTTTGTATTTTTAGTAGAGACAGGGTTTTTCCATGTTGGTCAGGCTGATCTCGAACTCCCAACCTCAGGTGATCCGCCTGCCTCGGCCTCCCAAAGTGCTGGGATTACAGGCGTGAGCCACCGCGCCCGGCCAAAATTATTTTTTTTAAAGGGTGTGTAGAGCCACCCACCTTGAAATGATCTATCAAGGGTGACAGCCAGCCCAAGGCCATCTTACAAGGGAATAAAAGCCCTACCCTCCCTCTCCTGACTTTGTCTCCAGCCAGGGATTTCTACTGACAACCCAGCCACAAGCTGGAAGAAGGAGATCTATTGATATAGGGTGGACCTTGGGACTGGTGGGAAAGGGTGGAGAGTACAACATATTCAGCTCAGTAGTGGAGATGGAAAGAGGCAACAGACTCAAACTTAAGGGATTTCAAGGCGGGCAGATCACTTGAGGCCAGGAGTTCGAGACCAGCCTGGCCAGCTGAGGCATGAGAATTGCTTGCGCCCCCAGGAGGTGGGGGTTGCAGTGAGCCGAGATCACACCAGTATACTCCAGCCTGGGTGACAGAGCAAAACTTGTCTCAAAAAAAAAAAAAAAAAAAAAGAGAGATTAAAGGATCGGATTTGGGGAGTGAGGGAGATTTTTGGCTTGAACAATTTGGTGGCCTGTTGTTTGAGGGGAGACACTAGAAGAGGGTCTACCTTGTGGGGTGGGTAACATCATGTTCCGTTTCCAGTGCGTTTGGGGTGCCTGGAGACATCCGAGTATAAATGCCAATAAGCCACTTGATTGGATAGGTCTGGGGCTGGGGTAGCGTTTGGGCGTCCTCAGCGTGTGGATAGTATCGAAACCTCCGTGATTGCGTGAGAGCAGGTAAGCACAGAACAGGGAAAGGGGAGGAGGGCCTGGGACTGAGCCCTGGGGAACACCGCCCAGCTAGAGGCGTTACACACAACCTAGATGGGCAGAGCTGCGGGCACCCAGCACCCCTTGGCTGCCGAGGGCAGCCGCGCAAGGGAGATGGGTGTGGGGAAGGGCCCAGAGTCTGACCTGGCCCCTTGCCCACCCCCTTCTGCCCAGCTGGTGAGCCTGGCCAGTGAAGTCCAGGACCTGCATCTGGCCCAGAGGAAGGAAATGGCCTCAGGCTTCAGCAAGGGGCCCACCCTGGGGCTGCTGCCCGACGTGCCCTCCCTGATGGAGACACTCAGCTACAGCTACTGCTACGTGGGAATCATGACAGGTGAGTGGGGCTGCCCTAACAACTCTGCCGCTCTGTCTCCTGTGTCCCCTTCCGCCCTGAGTGCCTGTTGTGTGTTCCCGCCCTGCCCAGGGCAACCTCCATCCTAGCATCTGCTGCTGTGAGGGTGGGCATGTGTCTGGGTCTACGTCTCACACCTCCGCTGGACCAGAGCTGCTTTGGGGTAGAAGCTGGCTGTCTCAACCTAAGCAATTCCTTGCTCTTCTCCTTGTAGCGTATTGGGAGCAAAGAGAAGAGATAAAGGAGGTAAAGATCTATGTCAACCTGATGTTTTTGCTTCCCAGACAACAAATATTCACGGCTTAGGGTCCACTTTCAGCTTAAGGAAATATTTTTCATCTGGGCGTGGGGGCTTATGCCTATAATCCTAGCACTTTCGGAGGCTGAGGCGAGAGGATTGCTTGAGGCCAAAAGTTCAAGATCAACTTGGCCAACATAGCAAGATCCCGTCCCTTTATTTTAAACCTTTATTTTTAAAAAATAAATAAATATAAAATTAAAAGGGCCGGGCGCAGTGGCTCACGCCTGTAATCCCAGCACTTTGGGAGGCTGAGACAGGCAGATCACCTGAGGTCAGGAGTTTGAGACCAGCCTGGCCAACATGGTGAAACCCCGTCTCTACTGAAAATACAAAAATTAGCCGGGCATGGTGGTGTGTGCCTGTAATCCCAGCTACTTGGGAGGCTGAAACTGGAGAATCGCTTGAACCCACGAGACGGAGTTTGCAGTGAGCCAAGATCACACCACTGCACTCCATCCTGGGCAACAGAGCAAGACTCCATCTCAAAAAATACATATGTATGTGTGTGTGCATGTGTGTATATATATGTATGTGTGTATGTGTATATATATGTGAAATTTTAAAAAGAAAATATTTTTCATTAATGTTTACCTCATCAAAGGTTTTTTTTCCAATAACAGCTTTAGGGAACTCTAATTCACATACTCATCCACTTAAAACATACAACTCTTGGCTTCTTTAATTTCCTGGAAAAAAAAAAAAACACAAAACATACAACTCCCTGATTTTTAGTATATTCACCGAGTTGTGCAGACATGACCATTGTGTAGTTATATTCAGAACAGTTTCATACCCTGCAAAGAAACCCCATGTCCATCATCCCACAAACCTCCATCCATCCCTGGTAACCAGTAATTGACTTTCTATCTGTAAAGATTTGCCTGTTCTGGACATTGCGCTTACAAATGGAATCATACAACATGTGGTCTTATTTATTTATTTTAATTTGTTTTTTTTTTCCTTTTATCTTCCCATGCTACATTGACCTAAACATACGGCCTTTGTGAACATATAAAAATTTTAACCCCGGTCCCTTCTGTGAATCACACTGCTTCCTCCCTAGGCCAGACCACCATCATATTGTAGCTAAAGTGCCACAGCTATCTCCTAGTTTCTTTCCTTCCTCCTTCCCTCCGTCCTTCCCTTTTCCCTTCTTCCTTCCTTCCCTCCTTCCTTCCCTCCCTCCTTCCTTCCCTCCTTCCCTCCCTCCTTCCTTCCCTCCCTCCTTCCTTCCCTCCTTCCCTCCCTCCTTCCTTCCCTCCTTCCCTCCCTCCCTCCCTCCTTCCTTCCCTCCCTCCTTCCTTCCCTCCCTCCTTCCTTCCCTCCTTCCTTCCCTCCTTCCTTCCCTCCCTCCTTCCTTCCCTCCTTCCCTCCCTCCTTCCTTCCCTCCCTCCTTCCTTCCCTCCTTCCCTCCCTCCTTCCTTCCCTCCTTCCCTCCCTCCCTCCCTCCTTCCTTCCCTCCTTCCCTCCCTCCCTCCTTCCTTCCCTCCTTCCCTCCCTCCCTCCTTCCTTCCCTCCTTCCCTCCCTTCTTCCTTCCCTCCTTCCCTCCCTCCTTCCTTCCCTCCTTCCCTCCCTCCCTCCTTCCTTCCCTCCTTCCCTCCCTCCTTCCTTCCCTCCTTCCCTCCCTCCCTCCTTCCTTCCCTCCTTCCCTCCCTTCTTCCTTCCCTCCTTCCCTCCCTCCTTCCTTCCCTCCTTCCCTCCCTTCTTTCTTCCCTTCTTCACTCCTTCCCTCCCTCCCTCCCTCCCTCCCTGGCTGGAATGCAGTAGCTCAGTCACTGCTCACTGCAGCCTGGGCTCAAACGATCCTCCCGCCTCAGCCTCCCCAGTAGCTGGGAATTCAGGTGCCCTCCACACCTGGCTGATTTTTATTTTTTGTAGTGATGGGGTCTTGCCGTTTTGCCCAGGCTGCTGTCCAACTGTTGGGCTCAAGCAGTCCTCCCAGCTAGGCCTCCCAAAGTGCTGGGATTCCAGGTGTGAGCCACCGCACCGGCCCCTCTGTCTGTTTTTCTGTTACTGTCTCTGTCTCTCTGAGTTTCTTGTCCCCCCTGTCTCTCGTTCCTTATCCCCATCTCTCAGGGTCTCAGTCCCTACCCTTGGGGTCTCCCCGGCGCCCAGTCTCTGCCCCTCTCACTCCCTCTTCCCACCTTCCTTCCAAGCTCCCTGTCCTCCTCCTGCAGACTTGAGCTCTGCCCACCTGCCTGTCTGACCGCGGCCCTCCCTCCCCGCCCCACAGGCCCGTTCTTCCGCTACCGCACCTACCTGGACTGGCTGGAGCAGCCCTTCCCCGGGGCAGTGCCCAGCCTGCGGCCCCTGCTGCGCCGCGCCTGGCCGGCCCCGCTCTTCGGCCTGCTGTTCCTGCTCTCCTCTCACCTCTTCCCGCTGGAGGCCGTGCGCGAGGACGCCTTCTACGCCCGCCCGCTGCCCGCCCGCCTCTTCTACATGATCCCCGTCTTCTTCGCCTTCCGCATGCGCTTCTACGTGGCCTGGATTGCCGCCGAGTGCGGCTGCATTGCCGCCGGCTTTGGGGCCTACCCCGTGGCCGCCAAAGCCCGGGCCGGAGGCGGCCCCACCCTCCAATGCCCACCCCCCAGCAGGTCAGGCGGCGCGAGGGAGGCTTCCCAAGACCCAGCAGCCCCCACCTCCAAGGGCTGGCTCTGCCCCTAGCCGGGAGGAGAGCGGGGAGCAAGGGGCCAGGGCCACCACCTTTTTGAGCAGAGTGTCGCCCCCTCGGCAACCATGGCCTGCCAGCCCCTGTCGGTAGGGAAAAGATCCCTGGTACTGACAGATGCCCCTTGTTGCTAGCGCTTGTCACCCCGCAGTGTGGTGAACTGCCCCCTGTCGCTAGGAAAAGGTGGTAACTTAGCAACCCTGTGCCACCCCTCTGTTGCCACAGAAGTGTCACCCCCCAGAACCAGATTGTTCCTGCTTGCTGGGGATGCCATCCTTTGCTAGTGGTGGGTCACCCTCTGTTGCTAGGGAAACGGTTCCCTAGCAACAGAACGCCACTATTTGCTAGGGAAGCAGGATCCCTAGCAACAGTAGCTCACCTCCTTTTTACCAGAAGTTTTGCTCTGTTGCTGCAGATACGGCACTCCCTGCACTGCCCCTTTGTTGCTAGGAGCTAGCACTGCTCCACCCCGTGGGATGTCCTCACATAGCAGCCCTCAGCAGCCCTCTGCAAGGAAATAGCAATTTCCAATCCCTGACCAGTGCTGTTCCCCAGCAGAGGGCACGCCATTCCTACCAACTACAGTTACACTGTTGCTAAGGAAGCCAAACCTCCCCCTGGAAACTATGGGTTGACCCTTGTTGCCAGAGAGGCTCCACCCCCCGGCACCTGCATTGCTAGGCAAGTCGCACGGCCATAGCTGTGGACTCTCTTGTGGCTGAGGAAGTATTGCCCCCGTGTTGCTAGGGAGATGGCACCCCCGGCAACCAGGAGTAGACTGCCCTTGTGTTCCTGACAGCTGCAGTCAGCCTTCCCCCAGGGGCTTGGACTGCGGCTGGGGGAACAGCCTGTTGATGTAAATGATGAACTACTACTCCCTGCTAGGGTTGTCCCCTAGTCGTCACAAACTGCCATTCTGTTGTGGGGGTAGTGACACCCCCACGGGAATTTGTTACCACTGCCCTAATAACCGTGCCCTGACCTCCAGCTGCTAGAGAGAGGATGTCCCCCTAGTAAAGCCAAGCAGGAATTGAAGGTTTTTCTAAATCTGCTCGGTCCTCACTCCTAAAGGATGGCTCCCCTCCTGTCATCAGAGGCCACCAAGGCTTCATATGGGCCAGTGTTTCCCACTGCTGGGGCTGTCGACATGAGTGATGAGGGAGCCACTGTATTGCTAGAGGTGACACTTCTCCAATAATCACTGCGACCAGGAAAAAAGCCCCTTCCTAAAAGCCTTTCTAAACATCCTAGGCATTGTTGCTAAGGAATGCCTTTTCCTTAGCAACAAAGATCATGGGGACCCCACTGGCGCCTGGAACATCTCCCTAGCAACCGTGAAGCACCTTGTTATTAGGGATGATAACCACAACTTCCCTGGCAACTGCAGTGTCCGACAATTTAGAAGGGACCATCCTTGGCGGCTTCTCTGAATATACTGAGTTTGGTTGCTAAAGGACTCATAGCTTAGCAACCATAGCCCTTCAAGGCTTTTCATGGCTGTGGCGGGCCCCATTAGGTACCAAAAGAAGAAGAACCCCATTGTCAGTGAACTGTACCACCCAGCCCACCCACCTTCCTACCCTACAGGCACCCTCTGGGCCACCCTCCCTTGCTGCCCTAGCAAGTCTGACAGCCAGAGGGCCATTGCCTGGCCAGGATCCCTTCCTTAGCATCCGGGGCTGGGACACTAGCAGGCGTCGGGAGGGGGCCTGGCTGAGCTGCATGTCTGTCCCCCACCCTCATCCTCCACCCCCCAGTCCGGAGAAGGCGGCTTCCTTGGAGTATGACTATGAGACCATCCGCAACATCGACTGCTACAGCACAGATTTCTGCGTGCGGGTGCGCGATGGCATGCGGTACTGGAACATGACGGTGCAGTGGTGGCTGGCGCAGTATATCTACAAGAGCGCACCTGCCCGTTCCTATGTCCTGCGGTGAGTGAGCCCGCCCAGTCTCAGGTGACACTGCAGAACTACATCTCCCAGCAGGCCCCAGGGTAGCCTGCAGCGTCCCTGGCTGGGCCCCTGCCCCCGGAGGCTCATGGGAATTGTAGTTTGTTTAGCCTGGTTTTGCCCTGCCTCTAATTATAGTGGCAGCATGCCGGTGTAAAATCGTTCCCCCTCTCGGGGCCTCAGTTGCTACTTCTGTAAAGTCAGCCTCACTCAGCAGAAGCAATGTACTGAGTCCTGTGGACTCAATAGCCAGCCTTCCTGGAATCTTGGCCGTCCAGGTTATGGAGAAACCTTGAGGAGTTAGTTGACCTCTTAGTTGCCTCAAGTGTTGAATGGAGTGAATGCTATTTATTACTGGTTTCATAGGTAGATAGAAGGACTAAATGTGATAAAATGTGAAATGTATTTAATGTGAGGCCTGACAGGTAAGTGCGTGCTGTGTATTCATTTTTATTGTTTTTCATTCTTCCAATATTTCTCGAGTGGAGACTCTGTGCTTGACACTGTTATCTGTGCAGCCTTTAGAAGCAGAAACTCAGCCGGGTGCGGCAGCTCACGCCTGGAATCCCAGCACTTTGGGAGGCCCAAGCAGGTGGATCATGAGGTCAGGAGTTCGAGACCAGCCTGACCAACATGGTGACATGCTGTCTCTACTAAAAATACAAAAAATTACCCTGGTGTGGTGGTGGGCGCCTGTAGTCCCAGCTACTCGGGAGGCTGAGGCAGGAGAATGGCTTGAACCCGGGAGGCAGAGGTTGCAGGGAGCTGGGATCTCGCCACTGCACTCCAGCCTGGGCGACAGCGAGACTCCGTCTCAAAAAAAAAAAAAAAAAAAAAAAAAAAAAAAAAAACAGAAGTAGAACTCATAGCCAGGCATGGTGGCTCACACTTGTAATCCCAGCAGTTTGGGAGGCCCAGGCAGGTGGATCATCTTGAGGTCAGGGCAATATGGTGAAGACCAGCCTGGGCAATATGGAGAAACCCCTTCTCTACTAAAAATACAAAAAATTAGCTAGGCATGGTGGCGGGCGCCTATAATCCCAGCTACTAGGGAGGCTGAGGCAAGAGAATCACTTGAACCCGGGAGGCGGAGGTTGCGGTGAGCCAAGGTCACCTGGGCAACAGAGAGAGACTTTGTCTCAAAATAAAATAAAATAGGCCGGGCACGGTGGCTCATGCCTATAATCCCAGCAATTTGGGAGGCCAAGGTGGGTGGGTCACAAGGTCAGGAGATCAAGACCATCCTGGCTAACACGGTGAAACCCTGTCTCTACTAAAAATACAAAAAATTAGCCGGGTGTGGCGGCGGGTGCATGTAGTCCCAGCTACTGGGGAGGCTGAGGCAGGAGAATGGTGTGAACCCGGGAGACGGAGCTTGCAGTGAGCCGAGATCGCGCCACTGCACTCCAGCCTGGGCAACAGAGCGAGACTCTGTCTCAAAAACAAACAAACAAAAAAACACAAAAAACAAACAAAAATAATTATTAATTTAATTTAATTTAATTAGATAAATGTGGAAGGGGAAGACCCAGGAAGGGTAAGTTTTGGGAGTAAGAAGGATATTATTATTAGTATTAGTATTAGTATTAGTATTAGTATTAGTATTAGTATTAGTATTTTGATGCTCTGTCACCCAGGATGGAGTGCAGTGTTGTGATCTCAGCTCACTGCAACCTCCATCTCCTGGGTTCAAGTGATTCTCGTGCCAAGAGTAGACGCAGGGTTTCACCATGTTGGCCAGGCTGGTCTCGAACTCTTGGCCTCAAGTGATCCGCGTGCCTCGGCCTCCCAACGTGCTGGGATTACAGGCGTGAGTCACCATGCCCGGCCAAAATTTTTTAAGTATTATTATTATTTTTTTTTTACTTTTTAAAAAATGTATAGAGATGAGGTCTCACTGTGTTGACCAGGCTGGTCTCAAACTCCTGGCCCCAAGCAGTCCTCCCATCTCAGCCTCCCAAAGTGCTGAGATTACAAGCATGAGCCACTGCATCTGGCCAGGTATAGATGACGCTTAAAGCTCTGGGGCTGAGGCCAGGTCAAAGCACCCCAGTGTTTAGACAAGTGCTTCTCAACTGGGGGCAACTGTGCTGCTGCTGCACCCCCAGGAGACACATGGCAATCCCTGGAGACATGTTGTTGTAACTGGAAGGTGCTAGTCGGATGTCGTGGGTGGGGGCCAGGGATGCTCCTAAACACCTTAAAATGCACAGGATCCATCGTTTTTGTTTATTTTACAGCTCAAGTGCAGTGGCGTGATCTCGGCTCACTGCAACCTCTCCCTCCCAGGTTCAAGCAATCCTCCTGTCTCAGCCCCCCTAGTAGCTGGGATTATAGGCACGTGCTACCATGACAGACTAATCTTTGTATTTTTAGCCTCCCAAAGTGCTGGGATTACAGGTGCCAGCCATTGCACCCAGCCTCCGCACTCTTGAAGAACCAGAAAGCCAATGGTCCTCCCTTCTCAAGAAAACAAGAGTTGGCCAGGTGCAATGGCTGACATCTGTAATTCCAGTATTTTGGGAGGCCAAGGTGAGAGGATCACTTAAGCTCAGGAGTTCGAGACCAGCCAGGTCAACATAGCAAGACTCCATCTTTACAAAGAAAAAAAAAGAGGCTGGGCGCGGTGGCTCAGACCTGTAATCCCAGCACTTTGGGAGGCCAAGGTGGGTGGATCACAAGGTCAGGAGATCGAGACCATCCTGGCCAACGTGGTGAAACCCCATCTCTACTAAAAATACAAAAATGGCTGGGTGCAGTGGCTCACGCCTGTAATCCCAGCACTTTGGTAGGCCACGGCGGGTGGATCACAAGGTCAAGAGATTGAGAGCATCCTGGCCAACATGGTGAAACCCCGTCTTTACCAGAAATACAAAAATTAGCCTGGCATGGTGGTGGGCACCTGTAGTCCCAGCTGCTCGGGAGGCTGAGGCAGGAGAATCACTTGAACCCGGGAGGCAGAGGTTGCAGTGAGCCGAGATTGCGCCACTGCACTCCAGCATGGGCGGCAGAGCGAGACTCCGTCTGAACAACAACAACAAAAAATACAGAAATTAGCTGAGTTTGGTGGCGCTTGCCTGTAATCCCAGCTACTTGGGAGGCTGAGGCATAAGAATCGCTTGAATCCAAGAGGCAGAGGCTGCAGTGAGCCTTGTCGTGTGGCAACAGAGCGAGACTCTGTCTCCAAAAAAATAAAAAGAGTGAGGAAAGATGGTGCTGGGCCTTGGAGGAAGAGGAACATATCTCCTGGGCCCAGAATAAGGAAGGACCACAGGCCAGGGACTTCTGGATCTTCATGAGCCAGGCAGGAGTTGTCAAATGTTAACAGGCATCAGAGTCACTGGAGGACTTGTTAACTTGGAAGACTTCTCCTGGGCCCCACCCCCAGGGCTTCTGGTGCAAAAGGGGTGGGGACAAGGATTTGTATGTCTCACAAGTTCTCAGGTGATGCTGATGCCAGACCTGGGACCCCAGGTTAAGAACCACCGGGCTGCCCGGGTGTGGTGTCTGACACCTGTGATCCCAGCACTTTGGGAGGCCAAGGCGGGCAGATCACGAGGTCAGGAGATCGAGACCATCCTGGCTAACACGGTGAAACCCCGTCTCTACTAAAAATAGAAAAGAAAATTAGCCGGGCGTGGTGGCGGGCGCCTGTAGTCCCAGCTACTCGGGAGGCTGAGGCAGGAGAATGGCGTGAACCTGGGAGGCGGAGCTTGCAGTGAGCCAAGATCGCGCCACTGCACTCTAGCCTGGGCGACAGAGCGAGACTCTGTCTCAAAAAAAAAAAAAAAAAACCACTGGGCTGAAGAATTAAGACTTGTTGGTCCTGGGAGAGGAAGGGCAGTGGAATATAAAATGTTAAATCTTTAAAGAAGAAGAGGGTCTTGATAGGACTGAGTGTGTATGGAAGGCTGCGAGCTCCTGGATCCCTGAAGGAGACAGAGGCCTGTAGCCTCCTCCGCCTTCCGGAGCTAGGGTCATGGGTCTGAGTGGGGAGGGCCTGGGGCCTGGTCTCCTGGATCTGAGGGAGGAGGGAGGTGGGGTCTGGTCTCCTGGATCTGAGGGAGGAGGGAAGTGGGGTCTGGACTCCTGGATCTGAGGGAGGAGGGAGGTGGGGTCTGGTCTCCTGGGTCTGAGGGAGGAGGGACTGGGGCCTGATCTCCTGGGTCTGAGGGAGGAAGGGGTGGGGTCTGGACTCCTGGGTCTGAGGGAGGAGGGGCTGGGCCTGCACTTCTCGGTCTGAGGGAGGAGGGGCTGGGGTCCTGGACTCCTGGATCTGGGGGCAGTGGGCACTGGGGACCTGGACTCGTAGGTCCTGACTCCCAGCCTCCTCCTCAGGAGCGCCTGGACCATGCTGCTGAGCGCCTACTGGCACGGCCTCCACCCGGGCTACTACCTGAGCTTCCTGACCATCCCGCTGTGCCTGGCTGCCGAGGGCCGGCTGGAGTCAGCCCTGCGGGGGCGGCTGAGCCCAGGGGGCCAGAAGGCCTGGGACTGGGTGCACTGGTTCCTGAAGATGCGCGCCTATGACTACATGTGCATGGGCTTCGTGCTGCTCTCCTTGGCCGACACCCTTCGGTACTGGGCCTCCATCTACTTCTGTATCCACTTCCTGGCCCTGGCAGCCCTGGGGCTGGGGCTGGCTTTAGGTGGGGGCAGCCCCAGCCGGCGGAAGGCAGCATCCCAGCCCACCAGCCTTGCCCCAGAGAAGCTCCGGGAGGAGTAAGCTGTCACGACGCTCCCTCTGCCAGCTGGTCCCGGGAATTCTGTGAACCAGGCTGCTGTCTCCTCCCCAGAAAGAGTCCTTACCTTGGAGAGGGTCCTGGAGAGAATTTCCTCTTCCCCAGCTAAATACCCTGCCTGCAACTGAAGCAGACCCGGGGGTGTCCTCCCTGCCCTCTGCCCAGAGGCCACCTCCACTCCTACAAAATCAAAGTATTGTCCAGACAAGAGTCACTGGCCCCTGCTCCAGCTTCTGGGTATCCAGAGAGCACTGCACTTCCCCAAAACGGAAGGGGCCCCTGGGCAGTGGGTTTTGGGCAAATTCCCTTTCTTTGCATCCACAATGTGGGGTCGGAGCTTGGGGGCAGGTCCTGGGAGTGGGAAGCCTCTTCCTTGTGTCTTTCGCTCCACTTTTAGCTCATCGCACCAATATTGCAGACTTGGAAGGAAGCATAAGCTTCCCATTTCACAAAGGGGAAACTGAGGTGCGGGTGCGCGGGCCTGGGGACGGCCGTCCCATGGCTTCCATCTGAGCCACCTCGGGACCCCAGCGCTCCTGGCGCCCTCTTCTCATCGCTTGGCCTATGACAGGTCACCGTGTGTAAATCTTTCCCAATAAAGTGTTGCACAAAGGCATCCTGTCCGTGCAGGTATCTGGGTGATAAACGGTGGGAAGGACTTAGTCCACCAAGTCCCAGGGTGAGGTACAGCCCCCCCGCCCAGCCCAGGAACCAAACTGTCAGGCCCGGGGCACCACGGGGACTTCAGCTCCCAGGAGACCTTTCGCATCAGCGGCCCTGAGAAACCACAGGAAGTGTACCTTACTCCCTCCGGGCCACCTGCTGGCCAGGTACACACCTGCCCCTGGCCCCTCCCTTACCTGGGGCAGTGTCTGCCTGGTGGCCACTAGAGACAGCCCAGCCTGGGCCATGGAAGAAAACCCGACCTTGGAATCAGAAGCCTGGGGCTCCTCTAGGGGGTGGCTGGCCCCCCGGGAGGCCAGAGGAGGTAGGGAATGCCAGGAGAAGCTCAGATCCATCCGACCTTCAGGCTAGGTGGGAGTCCTGCTGGAGGAGGAAAGGGGAGGCCTGGCCTCCTGAGTCTGAGGGCTAAAGAGAGAAGGTTCCACTTCCTGATATTATGGGGGAGAAGGGAACTGGAGGCTGGAACTCCAGGGTCTGAGGAGGAGGAGCCTGGAGAACCAGGCTAGTCTGGGAGGAGGGGAGGGCTAAGGGCTGGGAGTTTGGGTGTCTTGGGAATAGGAGAGGCTGGGTTCCCACACTCCTGAGCTAGAGGGAAAAGGAAGTTGAAGCCTGGACTCCACTGCCCTGGAGTAGGAGGGTTCCACGCTTGGGGATGGAGTTGAGGGCTGTGGACCCCTGGGTCCAGGGGAAGTAGAGGCTGGCACCCGGACTCCTGGGCCTGAGGGAGGAGGGGCTGGGAACCTGGTTTCCTGGTCTGAGGGAGGAGGGGCTGGGTGCCTGGATTCCTATGTCTGAGGGAGGAGGAGCCGGGGGCCTGGACTCCTGGGTCTGAGGGAGGAGGGGCCGGGGGCCTGTTCTCCTGGGTCTGAGGGAGGAGGAGCCGGGGGCCTGGACTCCTGGGTCTGAGGGAGGAGGGGCCGGGGGCCTGTTCTCCTGGGTCTGAGGGAGGAGGGGCCGGGGGCCTGTTCTCCTGGGTCTGAGGGAGGAGGAGCCGGGGGCCTGGACTCCTGGGTCTGAGGGAGGAGGAGCCGGGGGCCTGGACTCCTGGGTCTGAGGGAGGAGGAGCCGGGGGCCTGGACTCCTGGGTCTGAGGGAGGAGGGGCCGGGGACCTGGTTTCCTGGTCTGAGGGAGGAGGAATTAGGGCCCAGACTCCCGGGTCTTCCCAGCCCCCTGCTCCTCCCCAGGCCCATCGCTGTCTTCTGTGCTGAACGAGCTGCCCAGTGCTGCCACCCTTCGGTACCGAGACCCTGGGGTGCTGCCTTGGGGGGCGCTGGAGGAGGAGGAGGAGGATGGAGGAAGGAGCAGAAAGGCCTTCACAGAAGTCACCCAGACAGAGCTGCAGGACCCTCACCCTTCCCGGGAACTGCCCTGGCCCATGCAGGCCAGACGGGCACACAGGTGAGGCCCCACCTCCAGCTGGGACCCGCACAGCCCGGACCGGGCCCTTCTCCCATACCCTGGACTCGGTCTCCTCCCTCTGTCCTCTGCCGCTCCTGGCTTCTGGGGCCTCTCTCTGCCCCGCTCAGAGCTGCCTCTCTTGGTTTCTTTCTTCCCCTCATCTTTGTCTCTACTTCGGACTCCAGGTGAGTGCTGCCTTTCGATGGCTCTGGGGTCTCTTCTCTCTGGGATTTGCCGTCTCCCTGGTCTCCACCAATCCTGTCTCTGCCTCAGTTTCTCTCTGTGTGTGTGTCCAAAATCTGTTAATATTTATTTCTCTCTGCTTTATACCTTCCTTCATCTTTGCCTCCTCTTCCAAGCCTCCCTCTCTTTAACTTCTTTCTTTTCCCATTCTCACTGCATAATTTGCAGGGCCTGGTGAACAATGAAAATGCAGGTGCCCTCCTTCAAAAATGATTATGGGCCCATTGCAGTGGCTCACACCTGTAATCCCAGCACTTTGGGAGGCCCAGGCGAGTGGATCACCTGTGGTCAGGAGTTCAAGACCAGCCTGGCCAACATGGCAAAACCCCAACTCTACTAAAAATACAAACATTAGCTGGGTGTGGTGGCGGGTGCCTGTAATCCCAGCTACTCGGGAGGCTGAAGCAGGAGAATCGCTTGAACCAGGGAGATAGAGGTTGCAGTGAGCCAAGATCGTGCCATTGGACTCCGGCCTGGGTGATAGAGCGGGACTCCATCTCAAATATATATATACGCGTATATACGCGTATATATATACGCATATATGCGTATATATATGCATATGTGTGTATATATATACACATATATATGTATATATATGTGTATATATATGGAAAAAACAATAAAAAATAACAATGTATCAACACTCCCACGCCGATCAGTAGTGGGATCATGCCTGTGAATATAGCCACTATACTGCGGCCTGAGTAACATAGCGAGACCCCCATCTCTATTTTTTAAAAGTAATAATCAAAGTAACAATATGACAAAAAATAATACAAGTTAAAAGAACAGCTATCTATATAACATTTACCTTGTACCGGGTGTTATAAGTAATCTAGAGGTGATTTAAAGTGCATTGGAGGGCTGGGTGTCGTGGCCCATACCTGTAGCCCCAGCGCTTTGGGAGGCTGAGGCGGGAGAATTGCTTGAGCCTGGAAGTTTGAGGCTGCATTGAGCTATGATTGCACCACCGCACTCCAGCCTGGACAACAAAACGAGACATTTGTCTGTAAAAATCAGATAAAAATTAAAATAAAATAAAACAAACACAGGAGGATGTGTGTAGCCTGTATGCAAATACTATACCGTTTTATATAAGGAATTTGGGCATCTACAGATTTCAGTATTCTTGGGGAGTCCTTGAACCAACCCCCATGGATACTGAGGGATGGCTGTATTCATAAAGTGAGAGCCCAGATAAACTCCAGCTAGGGCAAGTGACACGGCATGACAGCACCCTGTGCGTCCCTCCCCTGACACCCCCTTTTTCCTCACAAATACAAGGTAACCTCTTCTCCCTAACCTTTTTTTTTTTTTTTTTGACAGAGTCTTGCTCTGATGCCCAGGCTGGAGTGCAGTGGTGCAGTCTCAGCTCACTGCAGCCTCCGACACCTGGGCTCAAGCGATCCTCCCACTCCAGCCTCCTGCTTTTCTGTAGAGCTTTGCAAGCTGTGCTCTGCAACGTTGTGCAAATAGAATCATACAGTCTTCAGTCTTTTGTGCTGGCTTCTTCTGCCTAGCATTAGGTTTCTTTCTTTTCTTTCTTTCTTTCCTTTCTTGGAATCTCACTCCGTCACCCAGGCTGGAATGCAATGGCGCCATCTCAGCTCACTGCAACCTCCACCTCCCAGGTTCAAGCAATTTTCCTGCCTCAGCCTCTCGTGTAGCTGGGATTACAGGCACCCGCCACCAGGCCCAGCTAATTTTTTTTTTTTTTTGGTATTTTTAGTAGAGACAGGATTTCACCATGTTGGTCAGGCTGGTCTCGAACTCCTGACCTCAGGTGATTCACCCACCTCGGCCTCCCAAAGTGCTGGGATTACAGGCCTGAGCCACTGTACCCAGCTGGTTTCTTTTTTATTGCTACAGAGTATTCTATCTTATGTATAGGCCACAATTTACTTCTCCATTCTACTGTTGGATTGTGTCTACATTCAGATGGTTCCCAGTCTGGGGCTGCGAAACCCCTCATTTTCTGCCTGTTTCCCTCCCAGGCAAAGAAATGCCAGCAGGGACCAGGTGGTCTATGGCTCTGGAACTAAGACGGACCGATGGGCGCGGCTACTTCGGAGGTCCAAGGAGAAAACAAAGGAAGGCTTGCGAAGCCTGCAGCCCTGGGCGTGGACACTGAAGAGGATCGGGGGTGCGGTGGGGTTTGGGTGGTGTCCTGGGGGCAGGGCCTGGACTCCTGGGTCTGAGGGAGGAGGGGCTGGGGACGGACTCCTGGGTTTGAGGGAGGAGGGGCTTGGGCCTGGATTTTTGGGTCTGAGGGAGGAGGGGCTGGGGGTCTGGACTCTTGGGTCTGAGAAAGGCACGGCTGGGCCTGGCGCGGTGGCTCACGCCTGTAATCCCAACAGTTTGGGAGGCCGAGGTGGGTGGATCACCTGAGGTCAAGAATTCGAGACCAGCCTGACCAACATGGTGAAACCCCCGTCTCTACCAAAAATACAAAAACTAGCTGAGCATGGTGGCGCACGCCTGTAATCCCAGCTACTCGTGAGGCTGAGACAGGAGAATTGCTTGAACCCAGGAGGCGGAGGTTGCAGTGAGCCGAGATCGCGCCACTGCACTCCATGCTGGGCGGCAGAGCGAAACTCCGTCTCAAAAAAAAAAAAAGAAAAGAAAAGAAAAGAAAAATATATATATATATATATAGAGAGAGAGAGAGAGAGAAAGAAAGGAAGGAAGGAAGGAAGGAAGGAAGGAAGGAAGGAAGGAAGGAAGGAAGGAAGGAAAGAAAAGAAAGAAAGGAAGAAAGAAAGAAAGAAAGAAAGAAAAGAAAGAAAGAAAGAAAGAAAGAAAGAAAGAAAGAAAGAAAGAAAGAAAGAAAGAAAGAAAGAAAAAGAAAGAAAGAAAAGAAAGAAAGAAAGAAAAGAAAGAAAAGAAAGAAAGAAAGGAAGGCGCGGCTGGACCCCAGTCCAGGGGTAGGAGGGGCTGGTCCTGCTCCCGGGAAGGAACCTGAGCCTCTCTCTGCTGCCCCCTGCAGGCCAGTTTGGCGCCGGCACGGAGTCCTACTTCTCCCTGCTGCGCTTCCTGCTCCTTCTTAACGTGCTGGCCTCTGTGCTCATGGCCTGCATGACGCTGCTGCCCACCTGGTTGGGAGGCGCTCCCCCAGGCCCTCCCGGCCCCGACATCTCCTCGCCCTGCGGCTCCTATAACCCCCACTCCCAGGGCCTGGTCACCTTTGCCACCCAGCTCTTCAACTTGCTCTCGGGTGAGGTAGGTGCCTGGGTCCCTGGGGGATTCCCCGCCCACCTGTGACCCCAGTGCCTTCAATGACACGAACCTCAAACCCTGACCCCAGACCCTGACTGTGCAGCTCCAGGAGCCCCGCCTCCTCCCACAGTGGCCCCTGCGCCGCCTTCCCCCCACAGGGTTACCTGGAATGGTCCCCTCTCTTCTATGGCTTCTACCCGCCCCGCCCACGCCTGGCGGTCACCTACCTGTGCTGGGCCTTTGCCGTTGGCCTCATCTGCCTCCTGCTCATCCTGCATCGGTCAGTGGCACCTGCACCCCTGACCCCTGACGGGACGGGTTGGGGTGGGGGAGCAAGTGGTGGTGGCAGAAACCCCCTCCCCAAGAATCCTCAGTCTTTTTTTTTTTGAGACGGAGTTTTGCTCTTATTGCCCAGGCTAGAGTGTAGTGGCGCAATCTCGGCTCACTGCAACCTCCGCCTTCCGGTTTCAAGCGATTCTCCTGCCTCAGCCTCCCAAGTTGCTGGGATTACAGGCGCCCGCCACCACGCCCAGCTAACTTTTTTGTATTTTTAGTAGAGATGGGGTTTCACCATGTTGGTCAGGCTGGTCTTGAACTGCTGACCTCGTGATCCACCCGCCTCGGCCTCCCACAGTGCTGGGATTACAGGCGTGAGCCACCGCGCCCGGCCCCAGAATCCTCGGTCTTGCTGTGTAACCCTTTATTCTGTGTGAGTTAAAATCAAGGTTTTGGGCCAGGAGCGGTGGCCCAGGAGGCGGAGCTTGCAGTGAGCCGAGTTTGCGCCACTGCACTCCAGCCTGGGCGACAGAGCGAAACTCCATCTAAAAAAAAAAAAAAGATCAAGGTTTTGGGATTTGTTTTTGTTTTTCATTTGTTTTGTTTGTTTGTTTTTGAGACAGAGTCTTACTCTGTCGCCCAGGCTGGAGTGCAATGGCACGATCTTGGCTCACTGCAACCTCCACCTCCCGGGTTCAAGCGATTCTACTGCCTCACCCTCCCAAGTAGCTGGGTTTACAGGCTCCGGCCACCACGCCCAGCTAATTTTTTGTATTTTTAGTAGAGACGGGGTATCGCCATGTTGGCCAGGCTGGTCTCGAACTCCTGATCTCAGGTGATCCACCTGCCTCGGCCTCCCAAAGTGCTGGGATTACAGGTGTGAGCCACCGCACCCAGTCTGTTTTGTTTTTTGAGACAGGGTCTCACTCTGTCACCCGGCTAGCGTGCGGTGGTGCAATCATAGCTCACCGGAAGCCTGGGCCTCCGGAACTCAACTGATCCGCCTACCTCAGCCTCGGGAGCAGCTGGGACCACAGGGGTGCACCACCATGTCTTGCTAAAATTTTTTTTTTAATGTTATAGAGACAGGGTCTTGCTATGTTGCCCAGGCTGCGCTCAAACTCCTAGGCTCAAGAGATCTGCTCACCTCAGCCTCCCAAGGTGCTGGAATTACAGGCATGAGCCAATGTGCCTGGCCAAAAGTCAACTTTTTTTTTTTTTGAGACGGAGTCTCGCTCTGTCACCCAGGCTAGAGTGCAGTGGTGCGATCTCAGCTCACTGCAACCTCCGCCGCCCGGGTTCAAGCAATTTTCCTGCCTCAACCTCCCAAGTAGCTGGGATTACAGGCATGTGCCACCATGCCCGGCTAATTTTGTATTTTTAGTAGAAATGGGGTTTCACCATGTTTGTCAGGCTGGTCTCGAACTCCTGACCTCAGGTGATGCACCCGCCTCGGTCTCCCAAAGTGCTGGGATTACAGGCGTGAGCCACCACGCCCGGCAAAGAGCCTCGATTTTAAGAGAAGGGAAAAGCCCTGGAATAGGTCTTAAACAGGGGAATACGGTCTGAGTTGCATCAAAAGAAGGTCCCACTGGCTCAAGAACTGAGAATGGATTATATGCGGGCACAAGTGGAAGCAAGGAGACCATGTGAGGGCCCTCTGTGGTTGTTCACATGAGAGATGATGGGGGCCGGGGCCAGGGCAGTGAAGGTGCACATGGTCTCTTTGTCCAGTTCTGTTTCTGCCCCTGCTGGGGTTCTCTATCTCCTTCCTGGGTCTTTGCCCCCCTCTCTTGAGTCTCTTTACCTGCCCGTCTTCTCTGGGTCTTTTTTTTTTTTTTTTGGAGGCGACCTCCACCTCCTGGGTTCAAGTGATCCTCCCACCTCAGCCTCCCAAGTAGTTGGGATTACAGGCATGCACCACCACGCCTGGCTAATTTTTGTATTTTTAGTAGAGACGGGGTTTCACCACATTGGCCAGGCTGGTCTCAAACTCCTGACCTCAGGTGATCCTCCCCCCTCGGCCTCCCAAAGTGCTGGGATTACAGGCGTGAGCCATGGCGCCTGGCCTGCCCCCTCTCTTGAGTCTTTACCTGCCATCTTCTCTGGGTCTCTGTCTTCTTCTCGGCTCTTCCCGCCGCAGCTCCCTTCTCTGTGTGCCTGTACTTCTTATGGGTCTTTGACCCCCATCTTTTGTAGATGTAGTTTCCCCTTTCTCACTGTCTTTTTCTCCCTTTCTCCGAATCTCCCTCTGGGGCCTCTGTCCCTCCTCCACATCTCTGTCTTCCTCAGGGCCTCTGTTTCTCTCACTCTGGGTTTCTGCCCCCTTCGCTCCGAGGCTCTGTCCCTGTCTCCTAGGTTTCTGCCTCTCTTTGGGGTGCCTGCACCCCAGAACTGTCTCTGAATCTCCCTTGGACTTTGCCTTCAATGACTGTGTCTCCGCCTCTTTGACTCTTTCCCCATCTGGTCTGGTGGGAACTCGCCTAGTACCCAAGGCCTTAGGGTTCATCTTCCCCATTTGTCCCAATATGAGGGGTCTCCCCATAACCCCCGTTCCTGGCTGTCCTTTCACTTCCCGTCTCCCGGGTCTCCCCTCTCAGCTCGGTGTCTGGGCTGAAGCAGACACTGCTGGCGGAGTCCGAGGCTCTGACCAGCTACAGCCACCGGGTGTTCTCGGCCTGGGACTTCGGTCTCTGCGGGGACGTCCACGTGCGGCTGCGCCAGCGCATCATCTTGTACGAATTAAAGGTGCGATTAGGGAGCGGGGTCTGCAACTGGGTAGGGACCAGACAGGACCGGGCTGAGATAACGCACAGGGCCTAACTCGGTGATGGGGCCTCCGGAGAGATGCTAAGCAGCTCCTTCTCCAAGAAAGGCAGGTCCTGGGGAATGAGAAGGTTGAGAGGAGGCCGAGATAGGGCTGCCCGAGCTCCAAGCGTGTAGGAAAAGGATGCGCCAGGGCTGGGATCGGTGGCTAATGCTTGTAACCCCAGCACTTTGGGAGACCGAGACAGGTGGATCGCTTCAGTCTAGGAGTTCGAGACCAGCCTGGGCAACATAGGGAGGCTCCCTCTCTACCAAAAAAAAAAAAAAAAAGTTTGTTTTTTTTTAAGTAAGCACAAGAAGCGGGCGGGGCCTAAGGCAATTTGGTTCAAAGTTAAGTGATGGGAGCGGCCAGCAGGGCGTCTTGATACAGCTGAACTGGAACTTCAGGCCAGGAATAAAGCGCAGGGCCACCTGGGGGCGGAGCCTCTGATGGGCAGGGCTGACCAGGGGCGGGTCTTGGGATGCTGGGCGGAGCCTCAGGGGCGGGGCCTGGGGTGCTGAGATTGACCGCGGAGGGATGGGGGCTTGGGTTGCTGGATCCGGCCGCGAAGGGGCGGGGCTGTAAAGGGCCGCTGGTTTCCTGGAGCGGGTGGAACCAGGACTGCAGAGGTTGTTAGCGGGTGGGGAGACGGCTGCATCAGTTCACGTTAAGGAGGATCTCTGGAGAGCCAGACCTGGGGAACCGGGAGGCCCGCGCCTTGGGAAATGGAGTCCAAGCGGGCATCTCTCCTGCCTTCAGGTGGAGCTGGAGGAGACAGTGGTGCGGCGCCAGGCTGCGGTGCGGACGCTGGGCCAGCAAGCCAGGGTTTGGTTGGTGCGGGTGCTGCTCAACCTGCTGGTGGTCGCGCTCCTGGGGGCAGCCTTCTATGGCGTCTACTGGGCTACGGGGTGCACCGTGGAGCTGCAGGTGCGGACGGTCTTGGAAGAGGAAGCCAGGGGGTCCTGGAACCTACATTTCCAACGGTGGAGGGAGGGGACGGAAGTTTGGGATGCCAGAGATCTTAGAGAGGAAGTATGGGAGAGGGTATGTTCGGACCCTGGACTTAGGGATTTTAAAGGAAAAAGAGAGGCTGGGCGCGGTGGCTTACACCTGTAATCCCAGCACTTTGGGAGGCTGAGGCGGGCGGATCACGATGTCAGGAGTTCCAGACCAGCCTGACCAACATGGTGAAAAACAGTCTCTACTAAAAATACAAAAATTAGACGGGCGTGGTGGTGGGCGCCTGTAATCCCAGCTACTCAGGAGGCTGAGGCAGGAGAATCACTTGAACCCGGGAGGCAGAGGTTGCAGCGAGCCGAGATCGCACCGCTGCATTCTAGGCTGGGCAACAGAGCGAGACTCTGTCTCAAAAAAAAAAAAAAAAAGAAGAAGAAGAAGAAGAGGCCGGGGGGAGGACCTTAAGCTTGGCTCCTCCAGGACCCCAAGCCTCTACTCATGGTCCATCCCGCTCCCAGGAGATGCCCCTTGTCCAGGAGTTGCCACTGCTGAAGCTTGGGGTGAATTACCTTCCGTCCATCTTCATCGCTGGGGTCAATTTTGTGCTGCCGCCCGTGTTCAAGCTCATTGCTCCACTGGAGGGCTACACTCGGAGTCGCCAGATCGTTTTTATCCTGCTCAGGTTCCAGCCTCACGGGGATGGCTGGGAATGATGAAGGGTGGGGGCGGTCAGAGGGATGTTGGCGCTGACAGGTAAGACACGGAAATCCTGCTGATACCGAATCCAGGGATTCAAATCCTGACTCTGTTGGCCAGGTGCAGTGGCTCACACCTGTAATCCCAGCACTTTGGGAGGCCGAGGCTGAGGTCAGGAGTTCGAGACCAGCCTGACAAACATGATGAAACCCCGTCTGTAGTAAAAATACGAATATTAGCCCGGCGGTAGTGGCTTCTGTAGTCCCAGCTACTCGGGAGGCTGAGGCAGGAGAATGGCTCGAGCCTGGGAGGTGGAGGTTGCAGTGAGCTGAGATCGCGCCACTGCACTCCAGTCCGGGTGACAGAGTGAGACCCTGTCTCAAAAAAAAAAAAAAAAAAAGAAAGAAAGAAAGAAAGAAATCCTGATTCTGTCACTGGGCCTCAGCTTCATCTGTGAGATGGGTTGAATGCGGGCGCGTTCCACTGAGAAGGGAACTGCCACATGGTGGGTACCGGGTCAGGGCCCATTCTCTGCCTTCCCCCCTTCAGGACCGTGTTTCTTCGCCTCGCCTCCCTGGTGGTCCTGCTCTTCTCTCTCTGGAATCAGATCACTTGTGGGGGCGACTCCGAGGCTGAGGACTGCAAAACCTGTGGCTACAATTACAAACAACTTCCGGTGAGAACGGCATGGGTGTGCGTGGGACTCTTGGGTCCCTGAAGGAAAGATGGAGCTGGGTGGGTCCAGACTCTTGGTTTGGGCGGAGAGGGGAGCTTGGGGTGCTGGAACACTCTCCCAAGGGTATGAAAGTTTGAAAAACGAGGACCCCCAGAGAAAGTATTGACAGGGTCTCATAGGCTTGCGATGTGGAGACTCGGACGCGTGGGCCTCCAGGTGCCCGGGTCCCGAGTTCTTTCTGATATATTTCTTCCTTCTTCAGTGCTGGGAGACTGTCCTGGGCCAGGAAATGTACAAACTTCTGCTCTTTGATCTGCTGACTGTCTTGGCAGTCGCGCTGCTCATCCAGTTTCCTAGAAAGTGAGAGCCCCGCCCCTTGCTGTGGCCCCGCCCCTCTAGGACGAGGCCGTGCCCCATCGCGCTGTTCTTTTCACCGCGCACCTTTTTACCATTCCCGCCTCTGCCTGCTCCCTTTGCTTGCCCTAGGTCCGCAGATCTCCCCGCTCCCCGCCCTTGTTTTAGTGGGTTACTTCCCTCTGGCCCCGACGGCGGCGACATCTGGGTCCCTTCTAGTCCTCAGGACCCGCCCTCTGGACACACCCCCTCCACGTGGAGTCCTGAAAGTCCCGCCCCCCCCCCCCCAACCAATACGCATGCTTCCTATTGGCGGGCGGGGCGGTGGAGGCGGGGAAACTCCAGGCCGCCACTCCCCTGACTCCGGCCCGGCCCCGCCCCGTCCTTCAGGCTCCTCTGTGGCCTCTGTCCTGGGGCGCTGGGTCGTCTGGCGGGGACCCAGGAGTTCCAGGTGCCCGACGAGGTGCTGGGGCTCATCTACGCGCAGACGGTGGTCTGGGTGGGGAGTTTTTTCTGCCCTTTACTGCCCCTGCTTAACACGGTCAAGTTCCTGCTGCTTTTCTACCTGAAGAAGGTAAGGGGTAGGGGGGACCCTTGGGTCTGAGGCAGGAGGTATTGGGGCCCGCACTCCTGGGTCAAGGGCAAGGAAGATCCTGGGGGCCTGGATTACTCGGTCCTGAGAGAGGAGGGGGTTGGAGGACAGACTACTGCATCTGAGAGGAGGGGTCTAGGGCATTCTGACTTATATGTCTGAGGATCTGGGGACTCAGACTCCGGGGTCCTAGATGAGGAAGGGGCTCAGACTCCTGGTTCGGAAAAAAGGAGAGGCAGGTAGGCCGGGTGCAGTGGCTCACGCCTGTAATCCCAGCACTTCGGGAGACTAAGGCGGGTGGATCACCTGAGGTCAGGAGTTTGAGACCAGCCTGGCTAACATGGCAAAACCCCGTCTCTACTAAAAATACAAAAAAAATTAGCCGGGCTTAGTGGCAGGCGCCTGTAATCCCAGCTACTCAGGAGGCTGAGGCAGGGGAATTGCTTGAACCAGGGAGGTGAAGGTCGAAGTGAGCCAAGATCGTGCCACTGCACTCCAGCCTGGGCGACAGAGCGAGACTCCGTCTCAAAAAGAGAAAACAAACAAACAACAACAACAGCAAAACAAATTAGCCGGGAGTGGTGGTGCACACCTGTAATCCCAGCTACTCGGGAGGCTGAGACACGAGAATAGCTTGAACCCGGGAGGGGAGGCTGCAGTGAGAGCCACTGCACTCCAGCCTGGGCGACAGAGCGAGACTCTGTCTCAAAAAAAAAAGCCTGGGCGACAGAGCGAGACTCTGTCTCAAAAAAAAAAAAAAAAAAAATGGAGGCACAGACTCTTGTGTTTCAGAGCCCTTTTCTCCGTGCCTTCCCCCACCAGCTTACCCTCTTCTCCACCTGCTCCCCGGCTGCCCGCACCTTCCGGGCCTCCGCGGCGAATTTCTTTTTCCCCTTGGTCCTTCTCCTGGGTCTGGCCATCTCCAGCGTTCCCCTGCTTTACAGCATCTTCCTGTAAGTGCGAGAGGCTCCCGCCTCTCTCCCTCCCTCTCTCCCCATTCAGTGTTCAGACTCCTGGCACTATGTGAGCCCAGCCTGTCTTGACTTCAGGATCCCGCCTTCTAAGCTTTGTGGTCCATTCCGGGGGCAGTCGTCCATCTGGGCCCAGATCCCTGAGTCTATTTCCAGCCTCCCTGAGACCACCCAGAATTTCCTCTTCTTCCTGGGGACCCAGGCTTTTGCTGTGCCCCTTCTGCTGATCTCCAGGTGAGACGGCCCAGACTTCTGGGTCTGGGTTTGAATGCGTGTGATCTGGGGGCCACCACCTGCGTCCAAGAGAGGAGAGGCTTGGGCGTGGGAGCAGGCAACGTACTGAGTCTGAGGGAGGAGGCCTAGGCTCCTGGACTGCTGGGTCCGAAGGAGGAGGTGGGCGGGACGTAGGACTCCTGGATCTGAAGGCGGAGGGGCTGGGAGACTGAACTCCTTGAGCCCAGACGAGGAGGGGCTTAGGCGTCCACATCCCTGGCTTCGAAGGAGCCAGACGTTTGGATATAATGGAAGAGCGTGTCAGGAGTGGCTTCCGTTCCTGTCTCCTTCAGCATCCTGATGGCGTACACTGTGGCTCTGGCTAACTCCTACGGACGCCTCATCTCTGAGCTCAAACGTCAGAGACAGACGGTGAGCCAGGCGGGTCCCTGAGAGGGCCCCTGGGGAACATGGAAAGGGGTTGGGGAAGAGGATTGTCTCACCTCCACCTCTCTTTGCCCCAGGAGGCGCAGAATAAAGTCTTCCTGGCACGGCGCGCTGTGGCGCTGACCTCCACCAAACCGGCTCTTTGACCCCCGCAGCCCACGTCCCGCTTTCAGACCCCAGGCCCATTGTAAGCCTAGGTCACAACATCTGTAAACTAGGAGAACTGGAGAAGACTCCACGCCCTTCCAGCTTTGGTATCTGGAGATTTCCAGGGCCCCTCGCCGCCACGTCCCTGACTCTCGGGTGATCTTCCTTGTATCAATAAATACAGCCGAGGTTGCTGAGCGCGCTTTGAAATCTGCGTCCTGAAGGTGGGGGCAGGGCTACAGCGGGGCAGGAGCCAATCAAATGTACGGGCATGTTTGTCGGTGCAGAGCGCTCTTCCGCAAGGAGACTTGTCGGTCATGTCGGCCAATCGACGGCCGCATCTGGTAGCATCAGGGGCGGGCCAACTTATGATTGGTTCAGATCTGTGACAAGAGGCGGTTGCTAGGGGATACCACGAGCCGAACGCCTAGCATTCGCTGTGATAAAGGGCGTCTCAGCCAATCACCTGTCGCTACAGGCCAGGGGGCCGTACCAACTAATTCGGAACCAATCCGCGGTCGAAGTAGGGACAAGAAAAAGGGGGGCATCCTCTCGCCAATCGGAAGTGCAAAGAGGCGGGCGTGCCAGTCCCTGGACAGCTACGACGCCATGAATATCTTGCCCAAGAAGAGCTGGCACGTCCGGAACAAGGACAATGTCGCCCGCGTGCGGCGTGACGAGGCCCAGGCCCGGGAGGAGGAGAAGGAGCGTGAGCGGAGGGTGCTGCTGGCTCAGCAAGAGGTAAGCTCGGAAGCCGGCAGGGCGGCGCTCCGGGGCCCAGCGCGCAGGCGCCGCGGTTGGGGGCCGGAAGCGGAGGCGTTGCGCAGGCTCAATGTGCCCCGTGTGAAATTCGGGACCAGGCGCCGATCCCACTTTCGAGGACGTTGCCCCGCAAACCTTGTGCCCACTTCCACGAAACCTTCCTTGATCTCGCCCTCGTCTTAGTTTTTCCCCCACTGATGTATTTCACATGGCTGGAACAGTGTCTAGCACAAAAGAGAAGCTTAACATTTAATGAATCCGTGAACCCTTGGACAGTTCAAGGAAATTCGGATCACTTTTTAGTTTGCCTGCACAGCCTATTTATTGAGCATCTACTGTATGCTAACTACATGCCGTGCACCTGACTTGCGGAATCCCCAATAAGCACTGTTCGTTCTTAGAGGGGCACTGTCATCTCTGTTGCACGAAGTGAGATGGCTTCAGTGAGGGGAAGGCACATTTTAAGGAGAGGCGGACAGCCAGGCTCCACGCCATCGGGCGAGCCCTTTCGTGCACCGCCCCCTAGACACATACACACAAACACGGGCTTTCCGTATGGCTCTTTAAATCTGTTTGGTGTACACCCAACTTTCATTTCCTTAGCTAGTCTGATCCTCCGCCGTGGGTGGGAGGTAGTCTAGGTTTTTAGAATCTCAGTAGGCTGCTGAGCGCTGTTTGAAATCCGCGTCCTGAAGGCAGGGGACAGGGCTTCAGCAGACTTGGGGTAGTCACTTGGAGCCATGGCTAGAATTCAGATCGTCTGGCCTAATGCATACCTTTATGGCTGTTTTAATTGTCTCACTTGAGGTTAGGAACCCCTTTGGTTTAGGCCAGGGACCTCCTCCCATACATCCTTGATGACCCGTGGTTTACTATTTGAAAGGGAGTTTACAAAACCCAGGCGTTGCCTCATCTGCCTACCCTCACCCCCAGCTAGGACAGGTGCCTCTTTTAGGCGCCTAGTGCTCCCTTTCTCATAACCCCAGCACCCTGGACTGCCATTTTCTGTGGTGGGCACCAGACTCACAGTTCTTGAATTACCTCTAGGTTCTGAATGTCCTGCCTATAACTTTCTCCCCAGGCCCGTACAGAATTCCTACGGAAGAAAGCCAGACATCAGAACTCACTGCCTGAGCTTGAAGCAGCAGAGGCGGGAGCCCCAGGTTCTGGCCCTGTGGACCTGTTTCGGGAGCTGCTGGAGGAAGGGAAAGGAGTGATCAGAGGCAATAAAGAGTACGAGGAAGAAAAGCGACAGGAGAAAGTAAGCTGGCCTCACCCACTTCATCAGAGGGGCCATGAATCGAGTTGGAGGGAGGGGGCACTTTAGCCATTGGTTGTGACCAAGGTCAAACAAGAGTGAACACACAGAATTTAGGACCATACCAAGGCATGACACTCAAAAAGCGTTGGCTATTGCCGTCTGGGCGCCCACAGGGGTTGGAGGTAGATGCTAGAGGTCCCCAGCTGCTGGGCAAACCGCTCAGTTCTCCAAACTGGAGGAGTCTCAAACCTGATGGGCTTTTAAAAATTTAAATCAGCCGGCTGTGGCTCACGCCTGTAATCCCACCACCTTGGGAGGCTGAGGCGGGTGGATCACCTGAGGTCAGGAGTTCAAGACCAGCCTGGTCAACATGGTATCTCTAAAAATACAAAAAAAATTAGCCGGGCATGGTGGTGCGCGCCTGTAATCCCAGGGAAGCTGAAGCAGGAGAATCGCTTGACCCAGGAGGTGGAAGCTGCAGTAAGCCGAGATTGCGCCACTGCACTCCAGCCTGGGTGACAGAGCGAGACCCCATCTCAAAACAATCAAACAAAAAGTGAATCAATCGCCTCTTGCTTTTTGGCTAAGATCAAGTGTAAAAGGTACATCAGTGGCTGTGCATGGTGGCTCACGCCTGTAATCCCAGCACTTTGGGAGGCCAACGTGGGTGGATCACCTGAGGTCAGAAGTTCAAGACCAGCCTGGCCAAACATGGCAAAACCCCGTCTCTACTAAAAATACAAAAATTAGCTGGGCATGGTGGTGTGTGCCTGTAATCCCAGCTACTCGGGGGGCTGAGGTAGGAGGATTGCTTGAACCTGGGAAGCAGAGGTTGCAGTGAGCCGAGATCGTGCCACTGCACTCGAGTCTGGGCAACAGAGCGAGACTCCATCTCAAAAAAAAGAGGTACATCAGCTCTTGTCATTTATCTGCTGTCTCTGGACTTGCTGACCCCACCCATCGCTCCTCTGCTTTGCTTGATCCCTTCAGGCTTCTCTTCAAGTCTCTCTGCAAAGATGCCTGCCTCTGAACACTCAAGTGGCTCCACTTGTCCCCTCCTTCCCCTGCTGTTACTGTACCTGCTACTGTCCCCCCAGGGGGAGCTTTGCCTCTGTTTGTCTTCCATCCCCAGCACCTGGTCCAACTGGTTCATAACAAGCCTTAGATACCTGTTCGCTTAGATACCTGTGTCAGGGAGACACACCTGACACCTTGAAAGATTATATCACATCTCTTGTATTTCCTGGCCCCCTCAGGAGAGGCAAGAGAAAGCTCTGGGCATCCTGACATACCTGGGCCAGAGTGCAGCGGAGGCACAGACTCAACCCCCTTGGTACCAGCTACCCCCAGGGCGAGGGGGCCCCCCGCCCGGCCCAGCCCCAGATGAGAAGATCAAGAGCCGTCTGGACCCTCTGCGGGAGATGCAGAAGCATCTGGGGAAGAAGAGACAGCACGGCGGTGATGAAGGCAGTCGCAGCAGAAAGGAAAAGGAGGGGTCTGAGAAGCAGCGACCCAAGGAGTAAGAAGACCCCACCTCGGCAGACCAGGGCCCAGACCTTCAGGGCTTGGCAGCAGCCCAGCATGGGCACTGCAGCGTCTCTGGTCAGGACAGCCAGGGACTCCGTGAAGGGCTGGCTAGGTGGAGAAGTGGTTCTCAGCATGTGGTCCAGGGAGCCCTAGGGGTCCTGACACCCTTTCCCGGGGTGCTGTGGTGTCAAGCCTATTTTCCTGACACTGGTGGACTTTTCCACTCGTGTTCTCAGGCATGTAGTGCAGGTTTCCAGAGGCTGTGTGATGGGGAGACACCCTCACTCTGATGGCCAATGGCAGATGCTTGTGTCCAAACTTTCTTAGTTTTCACTAATGATTTGCAGCATATTAAGAGAACCCATTTAAACAAAAGCTCTTGGGGTCCTTGGTTTTTAAGAGTATAAAGGGGTCCTGAGACCAAAGAGTTTGAGAGCTGCTGGGTTAGAGAGTAAAAGCAGGCTTCTGTCTCCAGGATGCTGCACCCCTGGTCTAGAGGGGGTACACTGCCTGTAGTCTTCTTTCCTCTAGAAAGGGAAACTGAGGGCCAGGGGGCTGCTAAGTGTGCTTTCTTGACCTGGAGAAGCATCAGATTTTAAAGACTGGGGAGGACCAAAGCCCACAGAAGGGAAGGCCAGAGACGTGCCCATGGCGTCCCAGCACCAAGTGGCTGCTTCCAGCAGGCCTAAGGAGCTGAGGCTGGGGTGTGCTGGATGCAGCGGGGCTTCCAGGCGGCAGCTCCCTCTATGGGAGAGGTTGGGGGAATGGCCTCCTAGGGGCTACCAGCTTTCTGACCTCACTCCTCTCCCCACAGGCCTCCATCCCTGGACCAGCTTCGAGCTGAACGTCTGCGGAGGGAAGCAGCTGAGAGGTCTCGGGCAGAGGCCCTGCTGGCCCGGGTCCAAGGCCGGGCACTACAGGAGGGTCAGCCGGAAGAAGACGAGACGGATGACCGGCGGCGGCGGTACAACTCCCAATTCAACCCCCAGCTGGCCCGGCGCCCCCGCCAGCAGGACCCTCACCTTACTCACTGACTCCTGAGGGGGTACAGGAGAGGCCGCTGCTGCCAGCCGTCATATAAAACTATTTATTCATAAATATTTTCCAAAATGAAAATAGGTTTACCAAAAAATGTCCCTCACTGGGGAGGGGAGGAGGGGGCAGCCCTCGCCCCCGGGCCCCCAGGGTGGGGCTGAGAGGAAAACCTCCCGGCCCCCTCCCTGCTTCCTGGGAGAGGGGGATGCCCCGTGGCTTGGGGCCTCCCTCCAGTCTTCCAGGGCAGGGCCCTCACCTGGGCAGGGGGATCAGCATGCGGGGGAAGGGGGTGGGTAGAGGGAGGGGCCGGTGTCACTGGAGGTCCCGGTCCTCCAGGTAGCGGTACTCAAAGGTGAAGCCTTCCTTCTTCCGCTGGCCCCACTTCTCGTAGTCAAAGTAGATGTAGGTGCCCTGGCCGGGGGAGAAGGCGGTCAGTGAGTGGACGAGGAGGTGGTCTGGGATCTGGGCCGGACCAACAGACAAAGGGGACAATTCTTAGGGCTGTGGATGTGTCAGGCACCGGGCCAGCTGCCCTGCACGCACACACTCTCATCCATCCTCACAAGGTTCTTCTTGGGTAGGAAATGTTATCATGCCACTTCAGCGAGGAGGAAACGGAGGGGGCCGCAGAGGTTCCACCGAAGCCAGCTGCCAGAACGGGGCCCCAGCCCCAGGTGTGAGTGCACAGCCTTCGTTTCCTCGAGGGCTGTGGCTTTTGAGCACCTCTCACGTGAGTACAGGATGCACAGCCTAGCATTTAATCTTCACAAAGACCTCGAGGCAGTGGGTACTGTCACCCTTGTTCTAGAGAATGGAACAGTCTCAGAGTCTAAATCCAAGCACTCTGCAGGGACATTTTATTGGTGACGGAAGTGGTGTGGGAATTTCTGAATGACTGGATGCCCTGAAATGTACTAACTTGGAGGATGGTTTTGGGCCAAACCAGGAAAGGACAGGAAGTCTGTGGTTAACATCTGAGGACACAATGGGAGAGGACCTAGGTTCTAAATGAATGTCTTAAGTGCTTCAAAGATGGCAACCTGGGAGAACCAGGAGAGGGGACTGAGTTCTCTGAGGACAAGGACCTTGTACTACTTCATCCCCATGAAGGGGCTCGGCATCAGGGAAGTATTTGGTGGAAAAAAACATCACTGTAGAACACACCAACTGAAAGTAATTTGAAAAAAAAAATCCATGACACTGACTATGTAGCAGTCACCATTAAGTACTTACATGTTATTAACTCATTTAATCTTCATAACAACTGCATTAGGTAGGTGGTCTTCCCCCCATTTTTACAGATAAGTTAATTGAGACACAGAGGTTCGAGTGACTTGCCTAGAGTCGCCCAGCTGGACTGGGCTGAAACCCAGGTAGGTTGGTTCCAGAGTGTTTGCAAGCAGCAGGAATTTCCCAGTATTAGAACTTGAGAAGCCCATTCAAAAAAAATAGTTTCGGCACTGAGCCCCTGCCCTGCTGAGTGCTGGGACCTGGAGGTGAAGTGGGGGCCATCAAGGTCCCTCGGCAGCAGAGCCCACAGCCTGGTGCAGGGACACATACTGGGAAAATCCCACACCCCAAGCGAGTGTGCCCAGCACTGCAAAGGGGAGGCACTGGGCTGGGTGGCTCCAGGAAGGTTTCTTTGAGGAAGGGACATTTGGGCTGAGACCTACAGGAGGCCTAGGAGCTGGCCAAGTGGAGGATGAGAGGGCGGTGTTCCAGGCTGAGCAGACAGCCAGAGGGAGGAGTACTTGGTCAGGCTGAGGGACTGCGCCAGCTGAAAGGTGGAGGCAAGGGAGCAGAGGCCAGCAGGGGCTGCCTGGAGCCTGGGGACTCTACCCCAACCCTAGCAGCGGGAAGAGAGGGGGCGGGGCCCTCACCTGCTCAAACTCGTCAGTGATGGTCTTGGGCTCCTCGTGCCTCTGGAACCACATCATGTACTTGGTGTGGAATCGCCATGACTGCTTCTTTAGGGCCTTGGCTGCCAGATACTGTGCCTTAGTGCCCTGGGGGAGGAACAGTGGAGAGGGGGATCAGGGGGCCCCCAAACTGGGTGGGGAGCCAGGGGAATGGGGCAGGACATCAGGGCTGAACCCCGGCCCCCGCCACAGACCACAGTTGGGCTGGACAATCCTCTTGGAGATGGGGCTGGGGGCACAGAACATACCAATGCTGATCAGGAGAAGGAAAATGAGACAGGAGGTGAAAATTGCTTTCAGAGAAGCTTTGAGAAGGAAGAAAAACTAATGTGTGATGAGAGCTGAGAGAGGAGGCAATTTAGAAAATTTCCCAAGTGGGGATGAGGGTGGAGGTCACTCATGACTCACTGGGGTTGGGAGGGGGCTGGACAGCTCCCCAGTGGTCTCCAGGGAGGCCTGAGAATGTGCCGATGAGCAGAGTGGGGTCGGCCTAGACTGGGGCTGCTGGAGCAGGGCTGGGGAGGGGCCGCGGGTGAGCCAGTGGGCAACTGGAAGCGGGGCTGAGGTGTGCCTCAGTGGACCAGCCTCGCTGTCAACCCAAGCAGTTCTAACATCTCTGGGCTGGAAGGCGGGGACGGGGACAGGTGGATTTGGGGCAGGGGCCCAGGAGTGGGAATAGGGAGGGGGTGCGGTCCCAGTGGCCGCAGTGGGGCACCCACCTCACCCCTCCAGCCCGAGGGGGGACGGCGGCGGTGGCGGCGAAGCCGGGGGGCCCGAGGCTGCCCCGGGGGCCCTGCTGTACCTCCAGATAGTAGAAGATGAAGAAGAGTGTCTCGGTCGACAGGCGCTGGTAGAATTCCACAGTGTCCGAGTGTGGGGGTGGCATCTGGTGGTGGTAGGGGGGCGTCGGACAGGGGTTCCGGGGGAGGTACTGCCTGTGAGAGCAACAGGAAGGTCAGTGCCAGCTGCCTACTAGTCCTGTCGTGATCAAAAGGGTGCTCAGACATGCATCCCTGCGGGGGGAGGTGGTACAGAAAGACCCAGGGCGGTGCTGACCTTCAGTGGAGAGCCCAAGTCAGGGGCCTGGTGCTCTACCCACAGCCTCACAGGTTCAGCCACTGCCTCCTCCGTAAGACTCAAGTCCCAGACCATCCCCCTTCCCTGTGGCCCCTCACCGAATACGCTCAGAGTCAGAGGGGTGAGGCATGTGGTGCCAGGCGGCCTCTTCCATGGCCTGCTGATAGAGCTGCTCCTTGGTGAGGGGCACAGGGCCCAGTGGACAGACACCCAGCGACAGCGGTATGTTCACCTCTGACAGCTGCAGGGGCGGCTGGGCTGAGGCCGGAGGTGCTGATGTACTGCTCAGGATGATGTCTGTGGGGAGGGTGGGGGTCCGGCCCCCTCAGTGGTGAGGATGGGTCAGGGGCAGCCCCTCCTCTTTGGCCCGCTGCTTCCCCACCATCCTGGGTCCCTCACCTCGCTCGGTCAGGTGCAGCGTTGGCACAGGGTCCTCAATGCCAGAGCTGATGGCTGCCCGTTCCGCCATGGACTTCAAGGAGCTCAGAGGCTCAGGGGCCTGGGGAGGAAACAAGAGGCCTGGCCTGAGCACTTGGGCTGCAGGAGCAAGTGCAGCCTGACACAGGCCCCAGATGCTCTCACCTGCCCTGTTTGGGGGCCGTGGAGGGCCAACGACCCACTCCCCACAATCTACCCATGACAGGTAAAAGCATCAAACTGTAGGGAAACAATCGGAGACCACGACGCATTCATCAGCAGAGGAACGTCTCGTGAGTGGGACTCTGCAGCATGGAATACTACGCCGAGATTTTCAAAATACAAGTTCGTGACATACTACAGAAGTAAACGCCAACCTGCAGAATATGTACAGTGCGCTACCATTTTTGTCAAAGGATGTGCCAATAGTACACGCTCCTTCACTAGGGACACCTACACGCTGGGAGAGCTCCCGCCTGTCTTGAAGGAGGCAGGAGGTCTACATGCTCAGCTGTCTGCCTGTGACTGGCATGGGGTGACTGGAATCGGGGTGGGCCCAGCCCGGCTAGGCTTCAGTCTCCTTGCTGGAAACAGGTAGGTTGGGTCTCCAGCCCCGCAGCCACAGCCTCGTTTCCTATTACAAAGGTTACAGCAGGCTTCTGTTCCCCAAAGTCAGGGCTGGTTCCTCCCATCTCCTCCAGCCACGTGCAGCTGTCCCAAACCCCAGCCCTGTGCTGGACTCTCCACAACGAGTCAGTCGCCAAGGCTTATCCATTCTGTCTCGCTATATCGCCCAGGCAGGTCTCAAACTCCTGGGCTCAAGCTATCCTCCCGCCTCTGCCTCCCTAAGAGCTGGGATTACAGGTGTGAGCCACCACGCCCAGCTATCCGTCCTGCTTCTAAACCCCACTGGATGGCTCCCTTCCCTGTCGTGCCACCATGTCCCACACAGCCCAGGCCTGTCCTCTCCTGCCCAGACCACCCTCCCTCTATCCTGTCCTCACCAGCCCCAGGGGACCTTTCCAATGAAGTCATGTTGTTCCTTCTCTACTCCAAACCTTGCCATGGTTCCCGACCACCCACCCCAGCGATTCATTTTTGTTGTTGGTGGTGTTAAAAGATATGGACCCCTTCTGAAAATCTCAAAGCTGCTGTTTCCCTTTTTCCAGAAAAATGCACGCACTATAAATATCCTGTCCACCTACTTCTAAAATTTGGGCCGGGCACGGTGGCTCACACCTGTAATCCCAGCACTTTGGGAGGTCGAGGTGGGTGGATCACCTGAGGTTCGGAGTTCAAGACCTGCCTGACCAACATGGCAAAACCCCATCTCTATTAAAAATATAAAAATTAGCCTGGCGTGGTGGCAGGCGCCTGTAATCCCAGCTACTCAGTAGGCTGCGGCAGGAGAATCGCTTGAACCCAGGAGGCGGATGTTGCATTCAGCTGAGATTGCACCACTGCACTCCAGCCTGGGTGACAGAGCAAGACTCTGTCTCAAAAAAGAAAAAAAAAAAAAATTAATGCTTCTGTTGGGCCAGAAACTGTTCCAAGAGCTTTATGAGGATGATTTAGTCTTCCAAATAACCCTACATAGTAGGTATAATCGTGACTATTGCCGTTTCCCAGATGAAGGCACAGAAAGGACAATGCCAAGACTTGGACCTGGACAGCCTGGGCGCGCACACTGCCTCCTGGACAGCCTGGGCGCGCACACTGCCTCCTGGACAGCCTGGGCATACACACTGGTCCCCCCATGGAAGCTGCGCTACAGTATACTGGCTCACAAGCCAAGCCCCAGCTCCTGACCCTCGATGATCAGGACCCCACCGTCCTATCCTGCTACACCCACTATCTCAGCCCTGCAGCTGGTGGCACTGTCTCCTGCAGAGTGGACACCTCTCTCCTCTCTGCTGCATCCTGCCCAGCTTCCTAAGCACACAGGCAGATGCATGCTCCTCCTAAAGCACCTCCTGAAGCCCTTCCTGCAGCTGTTAGCCCCCCTGCCTGGTCCAGGTCTCAGCTTAAACATCACCCCCTCTCAGACCTTCCTGGGCCTGTCTCCCAGGTCAGGTCAGATGCCCCTCGGTGGGCCCACCGCAACCTTCCCTGCAGCTGCCCCAGCAGGGAAGCTTCCTAAAGGGTGGAACCAGGCTGCATTCACCCAACCAGTCTTTCTACTTGTGCAGAAAGTACACCAGTCTATGCCTTGTGAGGACAAACGGGGACAGAAACTGAGGGCCTGCGGGGGGGATGAAGATGGAGACCCAGAGAGAGCAAGCAACAAGTGCAACCAAGAGAAAGGAAAAGAGACCCAGAGAAACAGAGCTTTGGAGGGAACAAGAGAGGAGGTATGAGAGCCCCCAGAGATCAAGGTCACGGGGAGGGTGGTACAGAAAGACCTGGAGAAAGAGCAAGTGTGAGAAGGGGACAGAAAGCCAGAGAAAGAGATCCAGAAAGAGGGTGGGGGCAGGGGGTGCAGCTAGAGACCTGGAGGAAAGAAACAACAGAGTCAGGACACAGAGGCTCGGGGGATGTCCGAGGAGCCCACCTTGATTTCTGGGGCGGTGCTGAACTGTGGAGGCCCATTGAGCAGGGCACCGGCTGCCTTGGCATCACTGAAGCTGGGCGTTGGGGAGCTGGGAGGATTCACAGGCAGTGGCACCAGGAGGCTGGGTCCCCCTGAGTTGTTCCCTGAGCCTGGGGCCACGCCCCCAGCCCCCGTTGGGGCTGCCGCACTGGGTTCCTTCCTGGAGAGAGAGCATGGAAGAGGGGGTTGAGAGGAGGGTCCCTGAGGGTGGGATGGGCAGAGAGGCCTGGCTGGAGAGAGGGGAGACTGCACAGATCAGATGGGATCTGAGAGGGGCAGGTGAGGGCAGACAGATGGGAGAAAGAAGTGGTTCTCTGGGCAAACAAAGGCAGAGCCCAATCTTTGGAATGGTTTCTCATCAGCAGAGCAGAGCTGTGGGGGTGGGGGTGAGGATTCTCGGGTGCTCCACCAGGCCACAGGCTGATCAAAACCACTTGCCCTGGGCAGGTGTTCACAGGGCCCACTCCCCCTTGGGCAGGCCAGCTGGAGCTGGGGTGAGGGGGCAGGAAGCAGGCCTTTCCTTTGTGCACACTGATCTTTCTTAGGGCATTCTTCGGGAAACAGGCAGACCCAGTGGAATGGTCTGAGCTAAGATTTGAAGGAGTGGCTGCAGAGGAATAAGGACTTCGGGACAATTCACTTTGAAAAGTGAAACAGTGACCCTCCGGTGGCAGTCAATTGGCCTCAGGCAGGTAACAGAAATGGGGAGGAAAGGGTATGGGGCTCTTGAGAAAACTTCCACTTAGATGAGAACGTATTTTAGAATGTTCTGAAGGGCAAAGCAGGGAGGCTGATGTAGTTTCCTTGCTGGAAAGAAGTGGGGGTGTAACACCCGAGGGAGATGGAGGATAGCGCTTGGCCATTCCCAGCAGCAAGGGCGGGGGGTTCAGAACCCACCGATGCGGGGGTGAGGCGCCTGCGCCTCTCTGTTTCAAAAGGCTGCCATCCCAACCCTGCCGATGGCCGAGACACTCACGAGGTGCTGGGAGGTGGGTTGTGGGGGCCGGAAGGGGGGCCCAAGGCCTGGCTGCTGGCATTGTTGCCCCCACTGCTGCTCAAAGCCACCTCTGCCGGGCTGTCTGCCACAACTGAGCTGTAACCTGGGAACAAAGAGTAAATGGAAAGGGCTGCTGCCTGCTGCCCAGCCCCGCCCACGCCCCCCACCCCGCTGCCTCCTCACTCACTGGTGGCGCCATTCTGCTTGCCAGCCCCTCCACCGGCACTGCTGTTACTACTGCTGCTGCTCCCTCCACCTCCGCTGCCGCCGCCTCCGCCTCCGCTAGGCTGGACGCTGGGGGGCCGGGGCTGGGTCGTGCTGGGCCCACTGGGAGCTGGTGGGGCCACAGCCTGGGCATAGGGAGCAGGGGTGCCCGAGTTGTGGCTGGGAGCTGGACTGGCCTTGGGGCCCAGGGCACTTGGGGGTGCTGCGGGGGCGGGGACCCCATTGTTGCCAGGAGTGGTGCTCAAGGCAGAGGCAGCAGGCGGGGGGCCGGAGGGGTAGGTGGGCGGCACAGCTGGGGACTGAGGGTGCTGGTTGCTGTGGACAGGCTTGGAGCCGTTTTTGGCTGGAGACTGCGGGTGGGAGAGAGCAGAGGGTCAGGACCCAGTGGGCCAGCTGGTCTCCCTCACCACCCCCACCTCAGGCTCCATCTTTGTCCCAGCAGCCTCCTCTCTGGCCTCGCTGCCCCCACCTGCTCCTGCCCTCTTGGGGACCTGGGTGACCTTACTCACCCTCATGGCTTCAATCACCTTCATGCTTAAAACACTCACACTGATTTCCAGCCTGCCCAGCTTCCCAAGTCCTGCCTGGACACCGCCCCATGGACACCCCCACAGGGATCTGACACACAACTTAGGTTGTCAGCCAGAGAAGATCCATCTGTTGGAAGCCAGAGGACTAGTGGGAAACACTTAAGTGTTCTCAATATGAGATTAGCTGGAGCCGCCTAATGTCCAAGAGTAGAAGGAAAAACAGCTGGAAATTGGATAGTAATTCTGAATGTCACCTGAAGGGTCACAGAAGCTACTCACAGGGCTGGAAGTTACCAGCACTCCAGAAAGTGGTGGGAGGGTAAATGTGCTCATGGTATCCCTACCGCAGGCAATCTGTGGACAGCACTCCGGCTGCTGAGCCTAACCACCTCCTGGGCTTCTTTCCAGCCACCCCACAGGCACCTTGCGCTTACCAAGCGCCCAACAGGACTGACTACCCACTTCTCTCCTGGGCATCGCTGCTTGGCAGTGGGGGCCTGGGAAGGTGGCAGAGCCCAGCCTGGCCCCTGGAGTACCTGCCTCAGTGTCTCTCCTCATCACCTCCTGGCCCTGTTGCCCGCCCTCACTACTACCTGCGGGTCCCCTTAGTCTCCACACCAGCCTCCTCAATGCCCACTCAGGGTGTCCCCTTGGAACCATCCATCCCGTTAGCCCACAGAGGGGCCTCAGGCCCATGCTGCTCCTGCCTAACATTGTTCTGTAGCAGCGTTTCCGAAAGCGTGCTCCTGTCCTGGGAGATGTTAAAGGAGTTGAAGAAGCACTGCCCGCCACCGTCTCCTCTCAGAAATTTGCAGTGTGTATTATCAGCACAGCAAAGGCCCCATCGCTTCCTAGGCTTATTGGACTCTGGAGGCCACTCAGGTCCACAAAGCCTGAGCCCCTCAGCCTGACAGTCCCAGTCCCTGTGCTCACAGTTGGGCCCTGGCCCTGCAGACCTGGCCAGACTCATCTCTCCTCACTTCCAAACTTTCTGTCACAACTTGCCCATGTTACTGGCTGCCACCTCTCCCTGCCAGGCAAACTCACCTGACTGTGAAGCCCAGGGCACTCCACAGCAGCATCTCCTGACTGCCTGGCCAGGCCAAGGGTGACCTGTGTGCTACCCCCTTGACCACAGCACCAGTCACCTGTCCACTTGCCCTGCCCACCTGCCCTCAGGGCAGCACTGATTTCTGAGCCACCTGTGTCCACCAGCCCAGCACAGTGGCCGGCGCTCAGGCCTCAAGATGCCTTTGGGAAGCAACAGAGGAGTGAATGGCGTGCCCACCCGGTCCAGGCTCACACCCACCTGGCTGACTTCACTGTCTGTGGAACGTCCCCTCTTCTTATCATCTTCAGAGTTTTCCTGAGGTAGGGGAGGCAGAATAGAAACCTGTGTGACCTCTGGGGCTCTGATGGAGAACCGCCAATCTCTGAATGCCCCGGGGACCTGGGCCCAATTGACTGCCATTGCGGCCCCAGAGCTGGTCAAATGGCTGTCCTTAATCTGCCTGGAGAAACCATCTCAATTCAGGCTCTCCAGTCTTCTTGTTTTCTGGGAGCCAGCACTGACCCACCAGCCTCTTAAGGATCTGGGAACCTGCTCTCCACAGGGAAGCCAACCCTTGGATCCCTGCCCAAGGTGGCCAGCTACCCAGCCTCCTCAGGCAGCCCAGGCACCGGCCCCTCCCACTTCCCAGATCCAGGACCTAAACTGGCGCGGGATGCACCCTATTGCTCTTTATGTCCTTTAGGGACCCAGATATAGGACCTTAGCGTGTGCTCCAAGAGCCTAGACCCTGGATACCTAGATCTGTGTTTCCTCAATTACGCTCCCATAGCCACTTTGGAGTGACCCAGATTTGTCTCCTCGAGTCCTGCCCTGCTGGAAACACAAGGTACTAGTGTCCCGTGGGGCCTCACCGTGGTACAGTTGGCTGGGCTGGGCGGGATGGGAGAGCTGGAGGTGGTTGAGGTGGGCGTGCTGCTGGACTGGTTGAAGATCTCATCCTCCATGTGGCTGTGGCTGGGAGGGGAGGTGGCGACCAGCGCCTGTGCTGTGGGGGCAGAAGAAGGGCATGCTTAGCTGGCTCACACAGCCCATTCTGGGCCCTCACTTCCTGTGCCACGATCAGCCCCAGGGCCTCACGAATGTCCTCGAGGTCCAGGTCATCGTAGAGAAACTCGTTCTCCTCGAAGTCGGGGTCCTGGGATGAGTCAACATAGTACTCAACGTCGTCCTTGATCTTGCGGATGGCGTCAACGAGGATGGAGTCATTGTCCAGCATGCGCAGGATGGTCTCTAGCATGCGCACGTGGTAGCGGTGCTTCTCGATGTGCCGCTTCAAGCCCTCAATCCGGTCCTGCTTCTGCTGGCGAGCCCAGGGCCAGGCTCAGGGGCTGCAGAGCACCTGCTTGGCCCCTCCTGCCCCCACAGAACCTGTCCTCAGTCCCTGACCCCTGTGGAGACCCAAAGCCTCCACGCCATCCCCTTCGGGGTGGGGCAGTATGGGGTCCACCCACCCTCTGAGCCCTGTGGGGACCAATCTTAGCCTTGACATCTTGGGATCCCACTGCTCCCTCCTCTCCCCACACCTTTCTGGCTCCAGGAGTCCTTGGAAACCTCTAAAAGACCCAGAGGTCCTTGTGCCATCCCACGACTTGGCCTCCATCTGCACCTCACCTGACAGCCCAGATTTCTCAACTGAGCCCGCCCACCACTGTGACTGCCTCTGGCATACAGATACCCTCCGACCTGCTCCAGCAGTAACAATGATAACCCCCATTTGTGAGGAGCTTGCTGTTTAGAATTGTGATATCTGTCATCACTAGGCCCCCAACCCTACCCATTTATCCCTGAGAGAGCCCAGATTCCTAAGCCTCGCTCCTGCCCTCCCCTCAAGGCCCCTTTAGGATTTAACATCTTAGCCTTGGTTCCAAATCTCTGCTCTGTTCAAGGACCCATCATCTCCCCGAAAGCCCCTGGTTCCCAAACCCCTCAGAGTCTGACACCCAACCCTGTCATCTTCCACTTCCTGACCCTCTCCCACCCACAGCTTCCCTGAGGACCCGGCTCTCCCCTCCCTGTCTTTCTGGTTTCAGCAAGTCTGTACAGTTTGTATCCCTTTGAACTCATACCCCACAATCCCGGATTTTAGAACCTGGGACCCCAACATCCAGCTTTGTCCCAGACTCCTGTCTTCCTTCAGGCCTGGTTCTCTGCCTTCTCCATGTTCTGCCTTGTCTCTACCCACTGTGCTCTCCCTAGGACCAGGGCCCTCTGGGTGCCAGGAGGCCTCTTGCCATGGGTGTCCTTCAGGTCTCACTTTTACTCTGTGGCCCAAGCTCAACCTGCACTCACCTTCCCCCAAGTCGCTCCTCTTCACAAAGGCCCCACGGTCTACCCAGACACCCAGGGGACCCTGAGATTCTGTCTGACCTCCTTCCTGCCCCACGCGTGCAGCTGCTAAGCCCTCCCAATCCTGTCTCTCAAATCCCTAATCCCGGCTGTTGGCCCTGTCCGCCTGAGGAATCCAGGCCCCAACTCCCAGGAGCATAAATGACTGGCCTCCTGCTGGCCAGCCCATTCCCATGCCCATCCCCATCCCAAAGGTGTCGGGTCTCCCTCACTCACATCCTTGTCGCCCTTCTTCTTGCGTGTCTGCACTGACAGTGACTCCACTTCACTCTCAAACTGGTCCACCTGCATGTTGAGCGTGTCGATGGTATTCTAGGGGAGGGAGAGGAAGAGGAAGCCCATCAGCTAGGGTTCCGCCTACACCCAGGGCTCAGGATCCTCAGAGTTCACCTCCTCTTCTCTACCCCAACTCACCGTGAGCCACTGGCCAACCTCTTCCTTCTCCTTCTGGGCAGGATCTACCTTCTGGGCCAGGCCCAGGCCCTCTTTGCTGTAAGCTTTGGTTTTGGTCTCTCGTTCCACAACTTTGAACCGTTCCATTTGCTGTAGAGAGTGCAGTTGGCAGGGGGGCTCTCAAAGGTGGGAAAGGAGCTGACTAAGGGCCAGCAGACACTCCGACCTGAGCCTCGTGACCCTACTTTCTGAGCTCTGAGTCCGCTGCCTCTTCACTTCCCTTAGGTGCAGAAACCTTACTTCTCTTGAGGACCTCTGGGGTCTGGCCGCTCTGCCTCCGCCCCTTGGGATCTCAAGAATCTGGTGACCTTCCCACCTCTCTGGGACTCAGGCTCTGGGCTCCTACCGTCTCAATGAGCTTGCGGTTGTCTATAAGCTGCCTCTTGTCCTTGATCTCGTTGGACGCTACCCATGTCTTGATTTGGTCCCTCAGCCGCTGCAGATGGGAAAAGCAAGAAAGTCAGACCTCAGGACCCAGGAACTGGGGCCCACAGCTCCTTCTCCCTGGGACCCAGCAGTCCACTCTCCCAGTTCCCTCTACCCTCAGGACAAAGGCGTCCAGGCCCCCAGCCCCCTCACTTGTAGCTTCTTAATCTCCTTCTTTAGGTCAGCCTCATACTTTTCTTTCTGGTTCGCGTTGGCTGCATTGTGGAGCTGAGGGATGGAGAGAATTGAGAAGTCAGTGTGGGAGGGGATGTCCCAGTACCCACTCCAGTGATTCTTCCTTATGCTAGGGACTCGAGGACCCCCCCCAACCCCTACCCCCAATCCATCTTAGAGCTGATTCTCTTAGGTCCTCAGCATCTGCATATGTAGCCCCTCCCGCTGGTCAACACCCAGAGGTCCTGAGCCGCCTTCCTGTGCCCTCCTCTCTGAAGACCCAGATTATTAGGGTCTCAGCCCCTGTACCTTCTGCCAAATATCTTCAAACTGCTCCACGCCCTCGGACACCTTCTTGAGGCAGCGATCAATCTCACCTGGCCAGGGAGGAACAAGGCTGTGAGAATCCTGCCCAGGTGGCAGGTATCTAAAGAGCAGTCCTCAGAAGAGGGAGCATGTGGCTACAGGTGCAGCAGGAAGTCAGTCTAGTACCTTGGAGTTTGCGCTTGTCCGCCATCTTCCCTGCCCTACAGACGCACTCTCTTCATACTCTCTTGGAGACGGACGCTGCTAGGAGAGATTGGAGAGGAATTAACACGTATTCCCTGGCTGGTAAAAACCCAGAGACATGGACCTAGTCAGCATAGTGAGGTAGGTGGGACTGGTAAAGAGAAGAAGCATTTGCTATCTGACAAGAGACCAGCCCCAGTTCTCCTGATGCTCGCTTGACTGCCCAGCATAGTGTCTGGCCAACAGGGGACCCCATAAGTTTGTTGAAACAAGAAAAGTTACATACTTTTTTGTGTGCCTCTGACTCAGGAAGTGGAAAATTCCTAGAGCATGGAGTACCTTCTCCCCAGAATACACTCAAAAAGGTTTTTCAGAGCAGGACAGTCATGCTGCACACAGCTGATGACTGGGATGGAGGCATTAGCCCTGGAAATCACACTTCCTACTCAGAGGGGCTGGGCAGAGGTGGCTAGGAGAGGTCATCCCTCAGACAAGTCAGGAGACAAATGAAACTGGCAGCTCACAGAGAAGGGCGTGTGTGTGTGTGTGTGTGTGTGTGTGTGTGTGTGTGTAAGCTGTAGGTAGGAGAAGAAAGATTGGGGGTGGGGGAAAACGACGGCGAGCAGAGATGCCGAAAGCTGTGAAGAGCTGAACCCGCTCATGCAGACAGGGCTGAATGCCAAGTAGAAGGGACTCAAACCACCAAGACATTTATTCCAGAGCAGGATCCTTAAACCAAAAGGAAATAACACTCCTAACCCAAAGAAGCTAATACCAAGAAGGCTTAGAGATTTGGGGGCAGAAGGCAGTACCCAAGAGAGACCTGGGAGAAGACAGAAATCTTACTAAGATAAGAGGGTGCAAAGGTACCGCAGCTGTGAGGGAGCCGATCTGCACTCATGGAGGAATCCCATAGCAAGTGGATTGGTAATTTAGAGTCAGGGAGACATAGACCATCAGGGCAGGAACCCAAAACTTCAAGAGAGGAGCGTCTTTATTTTAAAGGAAGTTACCTGGAACCCAGAGAAGACTGAGGTCAAAAGGGAGTTCCAAGGAGCTTTAGTCCAAGGGAAGACATACCTTAGGGCCTGACAGCGAGACCAGGGGAGCCCTGGGAAGAGAGGCTTATGCCTCAGAAGAAGACTTCTGAGATACCAGCGGAGATTGCCCTCTTCCCCTCCAGGGAGGGGGCCTACAATGAAAAGCACAGTTCCCTGGGATCCACGGGCCGCTCCCACTCTACGTGTGCAGGGCAGGGAACCCTGGAGTAGTCACTTACTGTAAAGACAGAAACAGCCCCATACTGAGGAACAAGAGCCTCAATACAGAGGGAAGTCACACCAAAAGAGTCCTCACCCACAAAGAAGGGAACATCTGGCAAACAGTGCTATCCAACAGAACTTTGCAATGCTGGAAACACTCTATTTGCGCATATCTGTTGGCCACTGAACATCTGAAATGTGGCAAGTGTAATGGAGGAACTGAATTTTTCATTTTTAACTAGTTACTAATCACCACATGTGACTAGCAGCAACCATATGGGACGGATATGCTTTAGAACAAGAAGCCCATAAAGGACAGGGCTGGTACCTTACCCCCAGGGAGAATTTTCCCAACACCGCAGGGACCCATTCTGGGTGATAATAGGTAGGGGTGCTACCTTACACTTGAGGGAATTTAAATCTCCTCAGTAAAAGGCCCAACCTAAAGAAAGCCGCAGCAGCCCCCGCCCAGGTCAGCTATCACGCCCTACCTGGGGAATCTCTAAGAAGGCAAAGCAACCAACAAAAGGACCCAGGAGAAGGTGCCACAGTGGGGATTCAGGCTGAGGAGGGGAAAGCCCCTTTGACCCAGGGAGCTCACACAAGGCAAGGGCCTGGACACCAGAGCTCAGGTGTGCAGGGATCCTCACCAAAGTCCAACACCCCAACACAGAAAAGCCTCTTACTGCATAGGGGGAACAAGAATGTGAAACGAGAGTTTACACTCCCTCTTTCCATCCCAAGAACCCAACAGAGGGTCATGGGCAGGTGCTCCAGCCCAGAGAGAGAAGAGGTCTCATGGTCTACACCCCTAAACAAGGCAATCAACACCTTAGGCAGGTGACGCCCTCCCTGTGTCTCCACACGGAAAGGACTGGTATCCTAGTGCAGAGGAAGAATACCCACAGAGAGGAGACCACACTGTGGCAGCAAGAGAAGGAAGTCCTGGAGGGGTCACAAGCCAGAAGGAGGGGAACAAGAGCGCTAACCCAGGGAGGTGATGTTTCAGACAGAACAGTGTGACATCGAAGTCGGCTACAGCTGAGACCCAGTGAGGAGGCAGCTCCTCCACAGAGAAGGGGCAAGTGCCAGAGGCCCAGGGTACTTGTCCCCTAGAGAGGCTGGAGCCTTAGCCACAGTAGAGACAACACCTTCCCCGCTAAGAAAATCCTTATATCATGAGGGTATCTGTACCTCTGGTCCCCCCAGCAAAGGACCAGAGAGAAGGGAAGCTGGAGCCTGAGTCTCGAAGCAGAGACGCCGCCAGAGAAGAAAGAGCCCCATTTGCTGTAGTCAGGGGGGCATCCACCAAGATCCTCCAAGGAAGGTGGTGATCGCAGGTCCACTCTCAGGCGTGAAGAACCTGTGCTCCAGCAGCAAAGGCTCTCCAAGAGCACTGAGGAATCTGGGAACCTCGGCCCAGGAGGAGACTTACCCAAGAGGAACACACATCCCCACAGGGAAGGGACCCACAAGGCGGGTGGCGGGGCGGGGGGAGGTGAGCAGGACACCAGCCTCACAGGAGCCAACACGCTAAAATCAGAGCCAAAACCAGTAAAGAAGAGCCCCCCAGACTTCATCTCAGGGAAGATGATACCACCACACAAAGACTCGAGGAGGGAGGGGCAGGAGGTCAGCCCTGGGAAACTAACACCGGGTGGTCCTTAACCTTGGGGGCCGTCATGTGCCCACAGAGTGGTCTTTGTCATGAGGCACCTTTGATCTGGGAGAGCTTCCGCCTCTGCAGCAAGGAGCTCTGAGAAGTGATGTTGAAGGGTGATCCTTAACCCAGGTGGCTGCTGACGTGGCCACACAGAGGCTCTGAGACTCCAGAAGAAGGATGCGTTAGGGCCTGGGGTAGAGGTAGTCATCTCCACTGAGATGCCCCATGCCAAGGGTGGGGGGCTGGAATCTCCCACCTTGGAAAGTCTACACCAGAGAAGTCTCTGGTCCCAGGGACAGGGTCTACAGTGGAGTCTCCCGCTTGAGACTCAGGTATCTTACATCCACACAGCCAGGAAACTATGCCTTACCCCATACAGTGACAAATCAAGAGGGGGTTTTGGAAGCATGAGCCGGGGGCACCTGCATCCGAGAGGGGTCCTCAGCCTTACGGTGGGGACACATGCAGAGGCGTGGACACCTCAAATCCAGAAAAGCAGCCATACCAATACCAAGGATGGCAAGAACCTTATCCCTGGGGGAGGTGACACCAAGAAAGGGTCCTTACCCTGGAGAGAAGGCACAGCCCCAGAGGGAAGAGCCCCCACCTCGCAGTACAGGAACCCGGGTCTAGGAAGCTTCCTACTCTCATGGGGTACCAGCAGCGGGGCCAGAAGGCGAAACCCTTGTTCTCCAACTGCTGACACCCAGCGTAAGGGTAGATGGGAAGTCAACAAACCCACAGTGTGGGATCTGATGCAAATATCAAGGGCAGTGGGCTTCTTGGTCCTTGGAGAGCTGACACCCTAAAGGAGGAGACTGGTGTGAAGATGGAAGAAGCCTCATACTCAGGCAGGGGTGAAGGGAGGGAGGGGAGACATCAAAACCCCTCACCAAAAGGACAGGAGAGCTCACCCCGGGGTGGGTGGCCGCCCTGCACTGAGAGGCAGGGACTGCTCAGAAAGAGGGGCTGGTGCTGCCCGCAGTGGGAGCTCACTAACATGGACAGCGTGGCGGCTTAGTGTCTTTCACCAGGCACCTGAGCGCCAGGGGATCCCAGCAGCCCCCAGCAACAAGACCACAGTGGTCCTGATATCACTGGGAGACGCCCACACCCAGAAGGTCGGAGAGTCACGATGCAGGGGAGTTCAAGGCTGCAAAGCCAGGGGCAGACGCCAGGATCAAAGAAGTGTGAGAGCTGAGACCAGACGTGGGCCACACTGAGGACGGTCCTGTACCCCAGGTGGGGGAAAGCCAAACTCCCCCAAAAAGGCAGGCGCCCAGTGCAGCGGGATGGCGAGGCTGGAGCCACCCAGGGCGCTACTCGCTATGAGAGGGAAGAGCTGCAGACTACAGAGGTGGAAACTTCGGCAAAGGCTCCAACTAACGGGGAGTTTCTCCTCCACTCCTCTCCCAAGAGGCTCCCATCCGATACAGACGGGCAGCTGGAACCTGAGATCCAGGGGAGGCTGCGCTCCCGGGAGCAGTGAGGAGGGATGCGGAGGGCGGCCTCGGTCCTGGGAAGGGTGACTCCCCCACCCAGCTGGGGTCCTCGTCCCGACCACCACCCCCCCTCCCCGCCACCGTCGAGGGAGAAGCCCCGGCGCGGAGGCTGCCCCACAACGCGAAGGACCGAGGCCGAGGGGGGCAGGCACCTGAGCCCCGAGAGGGCGGGCACCTGGGACCAGGGGCGCCTCCATCCTTCCAGCCAGGAGCCAATACCGACGCGGAGAGGGGCGGGCACCTCGCGCCCGGGAGGCTTCGCACCCTCACACCCCTACCGGGGGGCCCGACGCGATGCCACGCGGGGAGGCGGCGGCGGGCGGGGCCCGGGGTCCGGGTCGCGGAAGGACCCCCGGGAGGCGCTGAGGAACGTGAAAGAGGCGCAGGAACGGGAGGGCGAGAGGGAGGGAGCCGCCCCCCGCCGGGAGCCCCGCGCTGCAGAGGCGGCGGCAGGGGGCAGGCGAGGGGAGGCCATGTCGCGACAGACGGCGGTGTCGCCAGGGCGGGAGGCGGCGGGGAGGGCGGCCGATGGCGCCGGGGGGAGGAAGGGAAGGGGTCCGGCCCAGTCGAGCCTGACGCTCTCACCACAGGAGCTGGCGCCGCCGCTGAGGAGCGTATCGCGACAGGCGGGGGAGGCGAGCGCCCGCCGCCTTTTTCTCGCGCCCCGGGCCCGGGCGCTATCGCGATAGCGGCGCGAAGCGGAAGTGGGGTTGGGGGAGTGGGCCCGGGGTTGTTCTGACGACGGGGGTCGGGGCTCAAGGGAGGCCGCGGCGTCTGCCGATGGCTCCGCGGAAGCTGACCGGGCCCGGTCCAAGATGGCGGCGGCGGAGGAGGCCTCCCCTCCTCTCTTCTCGTCTCTGGCGCCGACCCGCCCCCGAGTCCCGAATATAGGCCAGTCATTGCTCCTGCTGAACGTCGCTCCTGACCCTTGGAGGCTTTCTATTGGTTCCTGGCAGGGATGCGCCCTGCCCCCTTTCGCGGATTGGGTGATCGCTCCAAGGCGCGGCGTTCGATTGGCCTCCCGCGCAGGCTGCTAGGATTGGCTCAGGTTTTCCTCCCCGCTCCTCCTCCTCCTCCCGCCTCAGGGCACAACACGCCAGCGCGAGGACCCGAACGTCAATCAAGAGACCTGTGTCGTGCTGATTGGATGTATCCGCCCCCCTCTCTTAAAACAATTGGTCTGGGGGAGGAGCTACGACAGTCCAGGGGCGGGAAGTCGTCCGTCAAGTTTAGAGCTCTTTTTAATTGGTTGCGGGGGCATATTCTGCCTTGAAGTCATTGGTTGGTCCTGGAAGTGGGTGGGGAAAGCGGAGGAAGGCATGGAGTGTGGGCGTTAGGGGCCGCGTACCTAATGGGAGACAGACAGGTGCCTTTAAAGCGGGGGCCGAGCCGAAGTCATCTGCCAATCAAAACAGCCACAGGGCCAAGTGGGAGGAGCTGGGCAAGAAAGTCCACCCCTTTTTCTTCGTTGGCCCTAAAAGTTATCATTCATGCTAGTTTGACCAATAGCGTGGCGAGTGGGCGGTAGCTGCTCGTAGAGCGTGTGAAAGAGGGTGTATGTAGCTGGCAGAAGTGGGACTTGGTCGCAACCGTTGCGTCCCGGCCAGGTAAGCAGCTTCCCTCTCAGCTGCCTCGTCTTTCTCCAAGTGCCTCTATGTTGGCACATCTCTGAAATTCATTATTTGCTGAGTGAAAGAAGAAAGGGACCAGAGACACTGCTTTAAGTCTCTGGCACCGTGCATAGCAGAATTGGTTGGGAAGCGTGAGGCATGGAGTTTTTGTCCTGCCCCTGCCTGGTTAGGCGACCAGATGGTAGGACAGTCATTCTCCTCTGCGTCTCCGCTTCCTTAGTGTGTTGAGGACGCTGCAGAAGGTACAGAGGAGACGGGTGGCTCCCTAATGCCTGCTCGTTTCAGGTCTCAGCTCTGTTGTCTTCTTGGAGAGAAAACTTCCCTGACCTCCCTCCCGGGCGGAGCGCTCCTGCGCGCCTTGTTCGTTAGGATTTATTTTTGTACGTCTACCGTCATTTTCGTAATTATTCGGTTTCCCTGTCTGGATTTTGCATCTCCAGCACTTAGCACGCAGGAAGTAGTCAGTAACCATTTGTCAAAGGAATAGATGAATGAATGTGAGGAATGACTTGTGATTGAAAACTTACTAGACACTGAGACTTCCACGAACTGGGAGGCATTTGCCCAGGGTCACACAACCGAGATGGGAAGCCAGATTCGCCCCTTCCTGTCTAGGTGGTGGAAAGTAAGATAAATCCCAGGGAGAGGTGAACGTGAAGGAGGATGGAGCCGTTCAGCACCACCCGCATCAGAATGGTCTGAGGCAAGGGGGAGGAGGAATGCTTGCGAAAATGCATATTCGTAGGCCCACACACAGACAACGGGAATGAAGCCTAGAGTTATTGTTCTAGAGCTCTGCTATTCAAACTGTGGCCCCTGGACAAAGTATCGCTTCTCAGACATCTCCGGAATCACCTAGGAATGTGTTAAAATGCAAATTCTGCTTTTCTAACAAGTGCCGCAGTCCACGGTCCGCAGTTCACTTTGCACACCGCGGATCTAGCGATGACTTTCCAACTTGGCTGCACATCAGAGTCACCTGAGGAACTTGTTGTTATTGTTGTTGTTGTTGAGACGAAGACTTGCTCTTGTCCCCCAGGCTGGAGAGCAGTGGCACAATCTAGGCTCACTGCAGCCTCTGCCTCCCGGGGTTCAAGTGATTCTCCCGCCTCAGCCTCCCGAGTAGCTGGGATTACAGGCGCCCGCCACCACGCCCGACTAATTTTTGTATTTTTAGTAGAGACGGGGTTTCACCATGTTGGCCAGGCTGGTGTCGAACTCCTGACCTCAGGTGATCCGCTCGCCTCAGTCTCCCAAAGTGCTGGGATTACAGGCGTGACGACTGCGCCTGGCCTACCTGAGGAACTTTAAAAAAAAAAAATTTTTTTTAAATTAGAGGCCAGGCCGGGCCGGGAGAATCACTTGAACCCGGGAGGCAGAGGCTGCAGTGAGCCTAGATTGCGCCATTGCACCTGTAATCCCAGCACTCTCAGAGGCCGAGGTGGGCGGATCACCTGAGGTAGGGAGTTCAAAACCAGCCTGGCCAACATGGTGAAACCCCGTCTCTACTAAAAATACAAAAATTAGCTGGGCATGGTGGCATGTGCCTGTAATCCCAGCTACTCGGGAGGCTGAGGCGGGAGAATCACTTGAACCTGGGAGGCAGAGGTTGCAGTGACCCGAGATTGCGCCATTGCACTCCAGCCTGGGTGACAGAGCAAGACGCCGTCTCAAAAAATAAAAATAAAAAATAAAAAAGTCCAGATACCCAGGCTTACACTGGACCAACTAAAACGATCTTGAGGTGGGAGCCAGTGTCTCTCTCACCCAGGCTGGAGTGCAGGGGCGCCATCTCGGCTCACTGCAACCTCTGCCTCCCAGGTTCAAGCCATTCTCCCACCTCAGCCTCCCAAGTAGCTGGGATTACAGGCGTGAGCCACCGCGCCCAGCGTAAGAGCCGCTTACAGAGTCTTCTTTTCTAGAGCAGTGCTTCTGAAATGTGGCCTTGGGTCAGGCACGTACCCATCACCTGGGAACTTGTTTGAAAGGCACATTTTTGAGCCCCACCCTAGACTGAATCAGAAACTCTGGGCCCAGCAACTATGTTTTAACAAGTCCTCAGTGTAATTCTGAAGCGCATTAAATTCTGAGAACCTCTGTTCTGAAAGTACGAGGGCTGCAGGCCCAGGCGACTCAAGATTCCTTTCCTGAGATTGACACCCTCATGCCACAGCCCCATTGGTAGATGCCGGATATTTTGGCCAAGGGAGATGGGGGATTCTGAACAGGGTTGTGGACCACGGGTCCTTCCCTGGCAGACCAGTATGTAGAGATCAGCAAAGGTTGTCATTTTCAAACAGGGTTGACCCAGAGGGTCAGGGATAACATTGAGAAAACAGACTTGAGTTATACAACCTGGGGTAGTTCAGCCACTCAAGGGAACCTCCTGAGTGTGTCGACTTTTTGACTTGAGGAAGGAGAGAGATTTAGAGATTGCCACTGAGGTCCAGAGACAGAGCTCTGGGTTGAAGGACAGGGATCCAGAGATACACAGAGTGGTGACGGGGAGGCCCAGAGAGGGGAACAGAAAGAGCAAAATCTCAGACAGGACCTAGAAAGTCAGAGGGAGACCCAGATAGCATGAGCTGGAGAGAGGGAGGGAGAGAGAGAGAGGGAAGGTGGAGAGAGGGAGGGAGAGAGGGAAGGTGGAGAGAGGGAGGGAGGGAGGGAGAGAGGGGAGGTGGAGAGAGGGAGGGAGAGGGGAGGAGAGAGGGAAGGTGGAGAGGGAGGGAGAGGGAAGGTGGAGGGAGGGAGAGGGAAGGTGGAGGGAGGGAGAGGGAAGGTGGAGAGAGGGAGGGAGGGAGGGAGAGAGGGAGGGGAGGTGGAGAGAGGGAGGGGAGGTGGAGGGAGGGAGAGGGGAGGAGAGAGAGGGAGAGAGAGGGAAGGTGGAGTGAGGGGAGGTGGAGAGAGGGGAGGTGGAGAGGGAGGGAGAGAGAGAGGGGAGGTGGAGAGAGGGAGGGACAGAGAGAGGGGAGGTGGAGAGAGGGAGGGAGAGAGAGGGGAGGTGGAGAGAGGGAGGGAGAGAGAGGGGAGGTGGAGAGAGGGAGGGACAGAGAGAGGGGAGGTGGAGAGAGGGAGGGACAGAGAGAGGGGAGGTGGAGAGAGGGAGGGACAGAGGGAGGGGAGGTGGAGACAGGGGAGGTGGAGAGAGGGAGGGAGAGAGGGGAGGTGGAGAGGGAGGAAGAGAGAGAGGGGAGGTGGAGAGGGAGGAAGAGAGAGAGGGGAGGTGGAGAGAGGGAGGGAGAGAGAGGGGAGGTGGAGAGAGGGAGGGACAGAGGGAGGGGAGGTGGAGAGAGGGAGGGACAGAGGGAGGGGAGGTGGAGACAGGGGAGGTGGAGAGAGGGAGGGAGAGAGAGAGGGGAGGTGGAGAGAGGGAGGGAGAGAGAGGGGAGGTGGAGAGAGGGAGGGAGAGAGAGGGGAGGTGGAGAGGGAGGAAGAGAGAGAGGGGAGGTGGAGAGAGGGAGGGAGAGAGAGGGGAGGTGGAGAGAAGGAGGGAGAGAGAGAGGAGGTAGAGACCTGGAGGCATCATCTTCCCACCAGGCTGCTGCTTGTCCTGGTAACATCTCTTAGGTAACTAACAGAAGCCCGACCTTGTAGGTCAGGTGACTAGCGCTGCCTCCTTAGTACCACCGTGTAGCCCAGCTCCGGAGCACATAGTAAATGGAACCCCTGGAGTTGCTCTTCCTTAACCTCTCCAGGGAGACGGTTTCATGCCACCCGCTAGGACAGCCCCTGCTGTCCCCTGGAAACTCTCCTGACTGTCTGCAGGCCACATTCCCCTCAGTCCAAGTAAAGGCGCTCCTGGCCGAGCCCCGGTTCCCGAGACTCAGTGACTGGAGGTCAGGGGAGGGGAAGTGTGCTCCTTCTGCTCACCTGGCAGGACTTTTATAGCAACCAGGTCCTACCAGGGCAGGAAGCCTGCCTGCTTCGCCTGTGCCCGGCTCCACACAGTCCCTCAACACTGGTTATAAATAAGAGGCTGGGCCAGGCACAGGGTAATCCCAGCACTTTGGGAGACGAGGCAGGCGGATTATTTGAGGTCAGGAGTTCGAGACCAGCCTGGCCAACATGGTAAAACCCCATCTCGGCCGGGCGCGGTGGGTCACACCTGTAATCCCAGCACTTTGGGAGGCCGAGGCGGGCAGATCACAAGGTCAGCAATTCAAGACCAGCCTGGCCCAAATGGTGAAACCCCGTCTCTGCTAAAAATACAAAATTAGCCAGGCGTGGTGGCGGGCGCCTGTAATCCCAGCTATTCGGGAGGCTGAGGCAGGAGAATCACTTCAACCTGGGAGGCGGAGTTTGCAGTGAGCCAAGACCATGTCATTGCACTCCAGCCTGGGTGACAGAGCAAGACTCCGTCTGAAAAACAAACAAACAAACAAACAAACAAACAAAACCCATGGGCGCCTGTAATCCCAGCTACTCAGGAGACTGAGGCAGGAGAATCACCTGGACCCGGGAGGTGGAGGTTGCCATGAGCCAGGATCATCCCACTGCACTCCAGCCTGGGCAACAGAGTGAGATTCTGTCTCAAAAAAAAAAATAATAATAATAATAAGAGGCCAGACACAGCGGCTCAAGCCTGTAATCTCAACACTTAGGGAGGCTGAGGTGGAAAGCTCACTTGAGCACAGGAGTTCAAGCCCAGCCTGGGTAATAGAGCACGACCCTGTCTATAAACAATTTAAAAATGGGGCTGGGGTGGTGGCTCACACCTGTAATCCTGGCACTTTGGGAGGCTGAGGTGGGCATATCATGAGGTCAGGAGTTCGAGAACAGCCTGACCAACATGGCGAAACCCTGTCTCTACTAAAAACTATAAAAATTAGCGGGACATGGTGGCACATGCCTGTAATCCCAGCTACTCAGGAGGCTGAGGCAGGAGAATTGCTTGAACCCGGGAGGTAGAGGTTGCAGTGAGCCAAGATTGCACCACTGTACTCTAGCCTGGGCAACAGAGCGAGACTCCACCTCAGAAAAAAAAAAAAAATTTAAATTAACCAGGAGGCCAGCTGTGCTGGTTCATGCCTGTAATCCCAGCCCAGGAGTTTGAGGCTTTAGTGAGCTTCATCGCATCACTGTACTCCAACCTGGGCAACAGAGACCCCGTCTCTAAAAAACCCAATCATAACAGGACCTGGTTATAGGGCGCTGATGGCAAGTCCCATGCTAAGTGCTTTCTGTGCATTCTTTCCAGTCCTGGGCACCTGGGCGTAGGTGTGGAGGCTTGGAAAGGTGAGGAGGCTGGCCTGAGGTGGACAGCAATCCCGGTCGGCCTGCGCTGAGATCTGCGGCTGTTGGCAGCCACATCATTTGCTATCAAAGTGACTGCGGCTCTCCAGGGGGTTGGAGAGGGCTTTTTCCTTCTGGGATCCCATGACGAGAAAGTAACGGGGAAGGGAGTGGGCCTAGACACCGCTTGGACCCGAGGGCCAAGCTCTTTTCTCAAAGCTCCACAGCTCTGATTCTTCTAGTTGCCCCGGCTGTTTGAAAAATGATCACTCCCCAAGGACAGATCTTGACAATGTCCTTTTAATTGTACTCTTTTCAAAAAATCTCCTTTCTCAGTTAAAAAAGACAAGGCATGATGAAGACCTGCTCTAGCCCATACTGGGCGGTGATCTCGGTCCTGGGGGAGGCCAGGCCGGACTCTTCCAAGGCCTCCTCCCTGGGCAGTCCCAGCAATGGGGCCAGTGGCAGGGCAGGTTCTCCCTGCCAGAACCCGATCCTAGCCCTTCAGAAGGACTGGACCTCTGTGTCCCTTCAGTGGGAAGCCACCTTGGACACACGCAGTCATTCAGGTGGACATAAGGCCACTCTTCTCGCCCTTGACCTTGAGGAACTCAGCCATGCTGGAGAAATACTTCTGGTTGGCCTCAGCCACCTTCTTCTCTGCCGCCTGTGGGTTCACAATCTCCAGGCCCTGGGCAGGTGAGGGAGAGAGGATGATGGGTTAGGTGAGGAGAAGGCCCCAACTGTGACCCATCAGAGCCCCCCAGGCCCTTCCCCATGGCACTCAGGCCTTGGTGGGCATGAGACAGTTTGCCTGTCCCTGGAGTTGCCCTGTCTTGGGAGATTCTGACTCAGTGGGTCTAGAGGGAGAGGGTGGGGAGGAACCAGGGCGCCTGGATTTGTACGAAGTTCCTCAGGGGTGCTAAAAACAACCAATGCTTGAGGACAGCCAATCCTGCCCAGTTTCTGCATAAGGAAACTGAGTCCCTGGGGGACATGGCTGGCCCGAGGTCCTAGCACAAATCACACCAACACCACTGACGATCATAGTGGCAGCAATGGGAGCCAACACCTGGCTGGCACTTCCTAAATATTTTCAAGGCAACAGAGCGAGCCCCCGTCTCTAAAAATAATAACAGGACCCAGTCATTGGGCTCTAATGGTGAGCCCAGTGCCAAGTGCTTCCTGTGCGTTCTTTTCAGTCCTGAGCACCTCATGATGGAGGAGGGGAGGCTTGGAAAGGCACAGCCACTGGCCTCATCTTCTCAAAGAGGCCCTCCCTGGCTGCTCCGAAACGAGAGCCTCCCCTGTCCCACCTCCTACCTTCCACCTCCTCCCCTCCCTGGCATTTCTGCCTTCTTTTTTTTTTTTTTGAGACAGAGTCTGGCTCTGTCGCCCAGGCTGAAGTGCAGTGGCGCGATCTCGGCTCACTGCAAGCTCCGCCTCCCGGGTTCACGCCATTCTCCTGCCTCAGCCTCCCAAGTAGCTGGGACTACAGGCGCCCGCCACCACGCCCGGCTAAGTTTTTGTATTTTTAGTAGAGACGGGGTTTCACCGTGTTAGCCAGGATGGTCTCGATCTCCTGACCTCATGATCCACCTGCCTCGGCCTCCCAAAGTGCTGGGATTACAGGCGTGAGCCACCGCGCCCGGCCTGGCATTTCTGCCTTCTACTACACTGGGCATCTTACTGAGCTGTCTGCGCCCAGCCTGGCATTTCTGCCTTCTCCTACACTGGACATCTTACTGAGCTGTCTGCGCCCGGCCTGGCATTTCTGCCTTCTCCTACACTGGACATCTTACTGAGCTGTCTGCGCCCGGCCTGGCATTTCTGCCTTCTCCTACACTGGACATCTTACTGAGCTGTCTGCGCCCGGCCTGGCATTTCTGCCTTCTCCTACACTGGACATCTTACTGAGCTGTCTGCGCCCAGCCTGGCATTTCTGCCTTCTCCTACACTGGACATCTTACTGAGCTGTCTGCGCCCGGCCTGGCATTTCTGCCTTCTCCTACACTGGACATCTTACTGAGCTGTCTGCGCCCGGCCACCCACTGGCTCCAAGAAGGTAAGACTTGTCTCTCATTCGTTGCTTCATCCCCAGAGCCGGGAACACTGACAGAACTCAGCAGGTGCTGCGTAGACACCCGCTGACTGGGCAGATGAGCTCGCTGCTGTCTCGCCTCCGTGGTGCAGGCTCGCCCTGCTCTGTGGATGGTAAACCGAGGCTCCGACGATGCGGTGACTGCCATGCTCCACGCTGCTCACTGCTGACTGGCTGGGGCCTGGACCCACACTTGACATCCAAGCCCGCCTAGCCGGGAACTTTCTCGAGTGGGGTCCTGAGGTTACCTTAACCGTCCTGGCCGTTTTGAACTGGAGGGCCTGGAGGCTGAGCAGTGTTACCCGCTCACAGCCCGACAGAGGAACTGGGTGCCCTGAACACAGCTGTGGGCCTGGTTCTAAAGCAGTGCGTGCTCACGAGGACTGCTCAGCGCTGGGCTCTCGTCTCTGCTAACCTCTTCCTGTGTGCCAGGAGCTGTCTACGTCCTCTGCATACCTCGTCACCACACCCTCCACAACAGCCCCATGAGGAGACTCATCCTGGCCTTCTTCACAGGGGCAGAGGGCAAGGGGCCTTGCCAAGGTCTCAGGGCTGGGGACAGAGCCGGCCCAGGGGAGGTACCTGGAGTGGGGTGAAGGCCACGCTGGAGGCCGTGCCCGAGGAGCGGTCGCGGATGGTGGACTTCCCGCCATATACGACGCTCTGCTTCTGCAGGGTCCGCTGTGGGGAGGACAGGGAGGCTGCGATCTGGGCTCCCCCCACCTTGTGTCCCTCGGTCCCCAGCCCCACCTGGGTCTGGCCCATACCTGCAGCGTCTTGGAGATCCTGGCCTTGGTGGCCTCGTTTACCTGTGTCTGCCGCACACGCCCACTGCCCGACTTGCCCAGGTGGCCCAGGCTGAATCCCAGGTCCTCCTGGTAGGCGTCCTCCTCGATCTAGGGGGAAGAGGAGGCGCCCTGCAGTTCAGCGACCAGGCCCTGCCCTCCAGCCACCGAGGCACCCCCTCCACCAGCCGGAAGCCCAGCGGTCACCAGCCGGCCGGTCCCACGGGCACCTGCTCCGGTACCCACTCGGCCCGGCTGAGGCCTGGGGGCCCACACACGCGGGGGATGCCGGGGAGCCTGAGAGGGGCCCGGTCCCAGCACTGCTCTGTGAGCTCAGAGTTGGGAGGCCATTCCTTCCTTACTCGTGTGGGTCGGGGGATGTCAGGAACCAGAACAGGTTTAATAGGATGAGGTGGCCTCTGAGTTCGGTCCTGCAGGACCAAGGGGATGACGCTGGGATAACAGAGGAGACTGGCGGGGCCCAGGGACGGGGCGGCCGTGCAGCAGGGCACTAAGGAGCCTCTGGGCAGGGAGGAACCGGCCAAGGAGCCCGGGGCGATGGGAAGCCGCGGGGGCTCTAAGCAGCGGAGACACAGGCTCCAAGGGCCGCGAGGGTCGCTTTGGGGCTGAATGGATGGAAACGAGAATAGAGGCCGGGGGGGAGGAGGCTGGGGCAGCGCCCTAGACATGAGCCAGGGCCACAGGACGAGAGGAGGGGCGGTGGCAGGAGGCAGAGGGCGGTGGCGGCTGGCTGGCTGTGGGGTTGAGGAGGGCGCTCTGGGAGTCTGACCTCTCCGAAGCTCATACGGTTGGCCTGCTTCCGGATCTCCGTCAGCCCCAGCCGCTCCTTCATCTTGCGGTACCTGGGGACGGGTGGGTGGGCGGCGCCAGGGAGTCGGCTGGGAGGAGGACGCCGGCTTCTCCCCTCCATGACCCCCATGCCTACCGGACCCCCAGGGCCCCTCACCTGCGGCCGCCTCGCTTCTTCCGCTGTCCATCCAGGGGCGCAGGCAGCGGCTTCACCTGCTTCACAGGCGGCGGCTCCTGCCACTTGTCGAATTTGCGCTCGATCTCATCCTTCAGTTCGTAGCCCACCTGGGGAGGGCGAGGGGGAGGTCCTGCAGCTGCTCGCGTGGGCTGCCCACCCAGGCCTCCTCTGAGCGGACCCCCCGAGTATCCACGTGCCTTAGTTAAATCAGCACCTAATGCTGCCTCACCGCCACCCCCTTTCTTTTTCTTCTTGGTGTTGACTTAGCACCGCTAGACGCAGGACAGAGTTCACCTGTTGACTGTCTCTTTGACCCGGCCCCAACAAGAATGTCCACGCCACGGGGCAGGGGTCCTGTCTGTGCTACTCACAGCTGCACCCCCACACCCAGACCAGGGGTGAGATGGGGAGAGGGAAAGGAGAAGGGGACACGGAACACCTGAACGCTGTGCCAGGCCGGGTGCTTGGCAAACGACAGTTCACAAGACAGAAAACGTCTCCTCTCCCGAGTACATCTACCAAGGAAGACAGAAGGTAACTGAATAATTACTTGAATAACATCCCCTGTTGCAGCGGGGACAGATCCTGGTGTGGAAGGCAAATTACGCCCCCACCAACACACACATGCCCAAAGAGGCCCATGTTCTAATTCCCAGAATCACAGGGCAAAAGGGACGTGAAGAGGTTAAGAAGGATTTTAAGGATTGTGAGCTGGGAAGACTATCCTGGACCATCTGAGTAGGCTCAGTATAGCCACAGGGGCCCTTAAAATAGAAGAGGGGAACAAAAACAGAGGCCGAGATATGAAGACAGAAGCAGAGTCAGAGAGAGGTCTGAGGGTGCTATGTGGCTGGCTCCGCAGACAGAGGGAGGGCCACGAGCTAAGGGGTGCCAGTGACCCCTAGAAGCTGGAAAAGACAAGGGAATGGATTATCCCTTGAATCCCCCAGAAGGAACGCTCCAGGATGACACCCTGACTTCAGCCCAGTGAAACTCATTTTGGACTTCTGACCTACAGGACCACAGATAATAAACCTGTACTGTTTTTTGTTTTTGTTTTTAGATGGAGTCTCGCTATGTCACCCAAGCTGGAGTGCAATGATGCAATCTCAGTTCACTGCAACCTCCGTCTCCCAGGTTCAAGCAATTCTCCTGCCTCAGCCTCCTGAGTAACTGGGATTACAGGTGCGTGCCACCACACCCGGCTAATTTTGGTAGAGATGGGGTTTCACCATGTTGGCCAGGCTGGTCTCAAACTCCTGACCTTGTGACCCGCCCACCCTGGCCTCCCAAAGTGCTGGGATTACAGGCGTGAGCTACTGCACCCGGCCACACCTGCACTGTTTGAAGCCAGTAGGTTCATGCTACCTTCCAACAGCAGACCTAGGAAACCCCACTGGGGAAGGGGGTGCCTGACCCCAGGGAGGGTGGGCAGAAGCACTGCCTCCGCCTTGGTAGGACAGTGCTCGCTGGGGTGGGCTCCCTGCTGAGGGTCTCCCTGCAGAGACACCCCAGGCCCAGAGGAAAAGACGCCCGGCCGCCCCTCACCTTTCCCTCCTCACCTTCCCTTCTGTGCTCTCGTGGAAACTGTCCACACGGGCTGCCAGTGTGCACTTGGCGGCCACCAGCCGGGCCGCTTTCCGCCGCAGATCCTGGAGCAACGGAAAACGGGGGTGGAATCTGTGTGAGACAGACAGACAGAGGTAACAGCAAAGCAACCGCGCGCGCTCCTCCTCTGGCTCTACCTGGGGTCCTGGAAGGGGGCTTTCCACCCTTGGGCTCTAGAGGTGTGTGCTCTCAGCTCCTACTTCACAGGAAGAGGGGATGAGGGCAGGGCACAGAGCCATGTCCCAGCTGATAAGTGGCCATCAGGTAAGGATGACAGTAAGGCACGCTGACAACGAGGACGGTGGTGACTGTGGAGACGCCGGGGGGAGTGCACTCGGCCTGGATGCCAGCCCCATGCTAAGCACGCCCCTCGGATCATCTCATCAAATATTCAAATATTGGGCTGGTGTGATCATTGCACCCCCTTTTCAGATGTGGAAACCAAGGCTTCAAGTCATGTGGCCAGGGAGACAGCCAGCAGGTGATGGAGCCAGGGTTCCAATCCAAACTGCAAACAGAGCCCAGCTGTCAGCCACAGTGAAGCGATGGCCAGCCCTGGCCTCCCTTACAGGCCTGTGGTGTCTACGGCCTGTGCCTGGACCGATGTGAGATGGCCAAATGAAGAGGCAGAGGCCTGGGTGACAAGACATCAGGCTCCCTGGGGCAGGTTTAACCCATATGCCCAGGGCTGTGAGGCGGTGGCGATGGCAGGGGTGCAGTGAGGCAGCTGGAGCCCCGAGCCCCAGGCCCACCCGTCCTGGGTTCTATCGCCCACTCTCTCTCCTCCCAGGATGGGGTGACCTGCCAGCCTCCCTGGGTGTGTTCCAGTAGCAGTGCCTGACCTAAAGGGTCGCAGAAAAGACCACAAAAAAAACCCCACACAGGGCTGGGGGGTGGGGCCAGGAAGTGCCTGCCCAGCCTTGGCCATCAGTGCTATTGTTCTCCCCATCCCTGGGGGAGGCCAGGCAGGGCACAGGGCCGTGAGCCTGAGGTAACTCGCCACAGTCGGACAGAGCAGGGTCTGGACCCAGGCCTGTCTGTCCCAGAACCTGTCTTGTTTTTTTTTTTTTTTGAGACAGAGTCTCACTCTGTCACCCAGGCTGGAGGGCAGTGGTATGATCTTAGCTCACTGCAACCTCCACCTCCTGGGTTCAAGCGATTCTCCTGCCTCAGCCTCCCAAGTAGCTGGGATTATAAGTGTGTGCCACTATACCCAGCTAGTTTTTTGTATTTTTGGTAGAGATGGGGTTTCACCATGTTGGCCAGGCTGGTCTCGAACACCTGACCTCAGGTGATCTGCCCGCCTCGGCCTCCCAAAGTGCTGGGATGACAGGCACGAGCCACTGCGCCCCGCCAGGCTAGCGGGCCTGTGTGTGTGCTGTCAGGCGTCGATGCTGGGATGGTGATGTGTCCCGACTGCAGGGAGAGGACCCGGGAAGCTCCGAGGTTGGTGACCTCTCCTGCCCCTCCTGTGTGTCTCTCCCCATGGCTGATGTGCAGCCCTCAGTGGATTCTGTGAGTCTTTCTAGTGAATGGTCAAACCTGAGGGTGGTCTTCGGAGCAGTTGCACGCTAACCCGACGCTGCTTGTCGTGAGCTAGGCCTGAACTGTAAGTGCTTCATGTGCACTGAGCCCTCGTCCCAACTCATGAAGCAGGCGCTGTGCTCCCATTTGATAGGGGAGGAGACTGAGGCACAGGGCGCTCATGCCTCTTGCCCACAGTCACCTGACTGGTGGGTGCTGGAGCTGGTCTGCTGCAGAGCCCTGGCTCTCACGTCCCATGCCACCCTGTTCCCAGCTCCTGAGTGCTACCGTCAGCTGGGCCAGATGGTGGGTGGCTGCTCAGGCTGTCTGGGCACAGCGGAAGGCTCCAGGGGGGCCGGGGGAGGGGCCATGACGCAGTGGGCTCACCGGTGGCAGGGACTGCACGATGTCACTGTGGTAGATGTAGCCGGTGTGGGGCAGCACTGAGGTAGACGAGAAGCCCGACAGCGTCTTGCGCTGGGCCCCGAGCAGCATGATGTTGCAGGCGGGCATCTTGGAGAGGTTGGTCAGGCCGCCGGCCACACCTGCGGTGGGAGGGAGGGAGGAAGGGGGGGCGGTCAGAAGAAAGCAGAGAGGTGGGGGTGAGTAAATCTGCCTGGGGGCTCGACGTGTGCTGGGCACCTTTACATGAAGTTCTGGTTGGATTCCTCGATGGCCCTGCCAGGCGGGCGACCTGGCCCATTCCGCAAGGGGCAGATGCAAAGGAGGCTCAGAGAGGGAGGGCAGCTGGCCTGGGGGTGCAGGGAGGAGGCCCCCAACAGGAAGCTGACCACCACGTTTGTGCTAAGCCACACTAACGCCGTTCCAGGGATGGCTGTGTTTTGGAACCATTTTCACCAAACCAGGAGCTCCCTGACAACAGGGCCTGGGTGTGGTCATCTCTGGGTTTCCGGCACAGGGGAGGGAGAAGGAGCTGTGGGTGAGTGTTTTTCCCACAGACGAGGCTTTGCTGTGTGCCAGGCTGGCTGACCTCTGTGATGTCCAGGGAGACGGGGTGCTGAGGTCCAGGTGCCAAAGCCCCCATTCTACAGAAAAGGATGTAGCTTTCCCAAGGTCACAGTGTCAGCAGACCCCCGCTCCATGGGACCCAGCCCGGGGACTCACCCATGATCTTGGCGGCCGTGGATGCCCCGATAATGATGGACAGGTTGGGTGCGATGAAGGACATCCGGGACTCCACATACTCGTAGATGCGGTGCTTGGAGGCGTTCAGCTCCAGCGCCATGTCGCAGGCCTCCTCCAGCCGCTCCAGCTCCTCCTCCGACAGCTGCTGCCTGCAGGGGCGGGTGGGCCCAGCCTCCTGGATCTCCCGCCTGCCTGGTGTGCCCAGCCCCAGCCCTCTCGGTTCTGTGTGTGTGTGTGCATGTGTGTATGTGTGTGTGCGTGTGTACACCTGCGTGTGTAGCTCCAGCCTAATCCCCAATCCCATTAGGGCCCGGCGCCTCCCTCGAAGCGGACATACCCCTGGGTGGTGGAGGCGGTGACGCTGACGACCATGATGGTGGCATTGGTGAGGATCTGCTGCAGGTTCTCATTGTTCTTGCACTTGTCCAGGCTGTTGCCCAGCTCCTGGGGGCGAGCAGAGAAGATAGGGGAGGCTCGGGAACTCAGGAAGGCTCGAGAACCTCTCTTGCTCAGCACCTCCTCAGGTCTCTTCTTAGGGACACTGGGACAGTCAGGGTCTCTGCACTGGGGGCCTCTCCTGCCTCCACCGCCTGAAGCATCCACACCATTCCTGCCTCCACCACGTCAAGCATCCACACCATCTGCCCTGCTTTCGCTGACCTGGAAACGGAGCCCGGGCAGAGTGGCGTCTGGAAAGACTGTGGCCTCACAAGCCTCTGGCCTGCGTCAAGTCGGAGTGCAAATCCGCGGCCTCGCTTCCCTGCAGGGGCTTCCCCACCGCCATCCTAATCCTTTCCTGGACATGCGTGGGGACCTCCTCCTCTCCCCGCCCTCACGCACACCTGCCCCTCTTTTCCGAAACCCTTCCTTGGCTTTCTCCTAAGACCCAAAGGCTGGACGTGATCCGACCTCTTCCCCGTCCCCTCCTTCCCCGCCTCACTTCCTCCCCACTTGTTCCCTCTCCAGCTCTCTGCACTTAGACGTCTCTCTGCCCCAAATCTCCGTGTGCCTGCCCTGTGTCAACCTTCGGATGTCAACTCCAATGCCACCGGCTCCAACCACAGCGGGAGCAGCGTGGGTCAGGCCAGCGGGGAAGCCCTCTCGGGAGACTGGGGTTGGAGGGGAGCCCTGAGAAAGTCCTGTCCAGGCTCCGTCCCTCCCACGCTGGGCAGAGCAGACCACTGAGCCCTCGTCCACTCCTCTCCATCGTCTCCAGACCCTGAGGCCTCTGGGAGGGGGTCCGAGAGTGAGCCCCGCCTGCCCCTTCACGCCAGCAGAAGCACCCCACCTTCTCTGCGCTCACCTTGACCGTGCGGATGTAATCCAGTGCATTGGGGACCAAGGACTCCAGTTCAGGGAATCTCTTTGAGTACTTATCCCGGATGAACTTATGGATGATGTCTAGGGTAAACGGGACAGGAGGTTGTCGGGTGAGATGGAAGGTAGACTCTGCTGGTTGGCCCTAACACCCATGTCCCCTTCTTCCTTTAGTAACTGAAGCCCTGGCTTGTGGCCTGGCACACGGGCACCAGCATACAGCCTTTCTCAGCCGTCCTTACCGCTAGGTGTGACCAGGGGAATTAGTTCTGGTCTGTAAAACGTGAGCTGCAGTGACATGTTCTTAAAGAAAAGAAGCGCCTTGCTGGTGGGAATGCGGAGGTGATGGCTGGAGGTGGGGCAGTCACCTCGCACCGTGAGGCAGGTGGCCGACCAACAGGATGGAAAGAGCCGGGGCCCTACAGGCAGCCAAGCGGCCACACCATCCCCGAGTGCTCCTCAGACTCATACGCGAGAGAACGCACTTCCTTCTTATTTCAGCCACTCTGTGACAGCAGGTCAACCTCGATCTGAGCTTGGGCTTAGGGGCAGGACCCTGGGAAAGGCCAGTGGGGAAGGGAGAGGGGGCGTGAGGGACGTCACACGGGGCTGTCTCCGCCTGCCCCCCAGCACTCACTCAGCTCGTTTTCGATCTCCACGGTCAGGTTGTTGGCATCCACGATGACGCGGTATTCAGGCGCGGCCTCCACTGGTCCCATCACTGTGAGGACACGGAGGCATGGGTGTGAGTATCTAAATCCCTACCCCCTCTCGGGTCCCGCAGCTGGAGGAGGCGGAGGATGAAGTTGGGAGGGGTCAGGAAGGAGGGGCTGAAGAGTAAACCAGGGACAGGCTGATGTCTGCAGACATCCCTGAACTTGTGTTCCTGCCTTCAATCCCTCTCCCTCCACACCAGTCTAGACTTGACCCCATCTACCCCAGAACTGACCGTGTGAAACCTCCTACGGCTCCCCACAGCCCCAAGGCTAATGACCGAGTCCTCAGACTGACATTCAGGGCCTCCCCAACTCCGGAAGCTCTGCAGGGACCAGTGCTGTGCCTGCGTTGGCTGTACCCACAGCCGAGTACCCAGGACAGCACCTGGCACACAGGGAGTTCCCCCGTTCCTGTTTGCTGACTCAGCAGCTCTGCAGTCTGGCCTCCCGCCCTTCCCGCCCCATCCTCTCACCACACCTCATTTTATTCCACTCCAGCCATAAAGGAGTGATCACAGTGCCCCAGACACCCACTCCTCCTAGCCTTTTTTTTTTTTTTTGAGACATAATTTCGCTCTGGTTGCCCAGGCTAGAGTATAGTGGCATGATCTCAGCTCACTGCAACCTCCGCCTCCTGGGTTCAAGCGATTCTCCTGCCTCAGCCTCCTGAGTAGCTGGGATTACAGGCATGTGCCACCACGCCCGGCTAATTTTTTTTGTTTGTTTGTATTTTTAGTAGAGACGGGGTTTCACCATGTTGGGCAGGCTGGTCTCGAACTCCCGACCTCAGGTGATCCATCTGCCTTGACCACCCAAAGTGCTGGGATGACAGGCGTGAGCCACCGCGCCAGACCCCTCCTGGCCTCTGCATGTGCTGCTCCCTCTCCCCAGAGCATCCCTTACCCCACGTCTGTTTCTGGAAAACGCTTCTTTGTGCTTTAGTAATAAGAGGTCAGGCACAGTGGCTCATACCTGTAATCCCAGCACTTTGGGAGGCTGAGGCAGGAGAACTGCTTGAGCCCAGGAGTTGGAGAGCAACCTGGGCGACATAGGGAGACCCCATCTCTACACATAATTAAAGAAAAAAAATTAGCCAGGCATGGTGGTGTACACCTGTGGTCCCAGCTGCCTGGGAGGCTGAGGCAGGAACGCCTGAGCCCACAAGGTCAAGGCTGCAGTGAGCTGGGATCGTGCCACTGCATTCTGGCCTGGGTGACAGAGTGAGACCCTGTCTCAAAAAACAAACAAACAAAAAGATGTTGTGTTTAAAAGTCATGCAAATACTAACTGCCTGATGTCACAGCCAGTAGAAGGCAGAGCTCAGATCTGACACCAGGCAGGGCGGCGTCAGAGTCTGCACTCCTAACCCTGATGCTCAAATGGCTCTTTAAGTCCTTAAGACTCAGGCAGCGACTCAGAATCCTTCCCTCCCTTTCTGGAAGGATCAGACGCCTCCTCTGTGTACCCGCAGCACTTGTGCACCTCCAGTAAACAGGGACTGCCACAGCTTGTGAGATGTTTCACCTCTGCCTCCTCAACCAGACACCGGGTGTGACGGGGTCTGACTCCATCCCTGAGCCTGGCCTGACATCAGGAAATGTCACTTTCTGTGTCCCATAACCCTCTGGAGGGAGAAATTCCTTGGCCTGGCATCTGGAACTCTGCAGGATTCTCTCTCCGGATATCTGAGGCCCCGGGCCTGCCGCTGTCTTTCCCTGGGCCCCCTTCTCCCTTTCTTTGCCTGGCACATGCATTCATGCTCTACAGTCCAATTCAGCTATCGATTCTTCCTGACACCTGGGGCAGGGTCAGCCAGTCCCTCCTGTGGCTCCGGTGTCCCCAGCTTGGTACCACCACTGATAGCTGTCTGGAACCTGGCCTGCCTCTTCCACTAGACCTTGAGTACTTTGAGAGCAAAGACCTGGGCGATTCAACTGGGTGCCCAGGTAAACGTTAAAGAAAGCAAGCAGTGAGTCTCCCGAAACTCTGCCCTCTCACTACACTTCTTTCCCCAGAAACCTCCTATGGCTTCCTGTCATCAACAAATTCCATTCAAGAAGAATGGGAAGGCTGGGCGTAGTGGCTCATGCCTGTAATCCCAGCACTTTGGGAGGCCGAGGTGGGCGGATTACTTGAGGTCAGGAGTTCGAGACTAGCCTGGTCAACATGGTGAAACCCCATCTCTACTAAAAAATACAAAATAGCCAGGCATGGTGTTGCATACCTGTAATCCCAGCTATACATAAGGCTGAGGGAGGAGAATCGCTTGAACCCGGGAGGTGGAGGTTGCAATGAGCCAAGAACACATCACTGCACTCCAGCCTGGGCGACAGAGGGAGACTCTATCTCAAGGAAAAAAAAAAAAGAATAGGAATGGTAACAGGACTGCCCTCTTAAGAGTGAGTCTGAGCACTCATGAGATAAGCTAGTGTTCTCTCAATTTGGGCATGAGAAAAGGTTTTAGGTTATTTTTTTTTTTTTTGAGACGGAGTCTTGCTCTGTCGCCCAGGCTGGAGTGCAGTGGCACGATCTCGGCTCACTGCAAGCTCCGCCTCCCAGGTTCACGCCATTCTCCCGCCTCAGCCTCCTGAGTAGCTGGGACTACAGGCACCCGCCACCACGCCTGGCTAATTTTTTGTATTTTTAGTAGAGACGGGGTGTCACCGTGTTAGCCAGGATGGTCTCGATCTCCTGAACTCATGATCCACCTGCCTCCGCCTCCCAAAGTGCTGGGATTACAGGCGTGAGCCACGGCGCCCGGCCTTAGGTGGTTCCTAAATAATTATATATCTATTTTTATACAGTGACTTTGTCTTTGCCAAATGATACCAGTTTTCCATTCATGGTAGCAATTTGCTTCCTTCTCAGATAAATTTAAGAAAAAAAGTCCTAGACTCAAAGAATATGTTAAGCAAATAATAGGATAAGCGGCTTATAGATGTGGCAAAAACCCTGTAACCGGTCATGTGAATCAGTGAAGTCTGGGAAACCTCAAGCTGAGTCCTATCATGATCAGTAAGCTCAGCACACAGGAAGGACTTAAGAAGCATGAGCTTTACAATGCAATATATATTTAGTGGAAAAGGGAACGGGTTGGGGTGAAACAAAAAAAAAAGAAGGCTCTGGAAAAGGCTGAGAAGGAGATATACCCAGCCACAAGCAGCCAGGGAGCCAGGGGGCCTGGCAGGAGAGACAGGAGATGGGGAGGGGCACAGAGTGGGAGGAAGCACCTTCTGAAGCTTTGGCTTGCTTGCTGATATACTCCTCAATCTTCATCATAATCTCAGCAAACTGTAGGAAAGGAGAAGACAGTCAGAATCCAGCACTCTTCAAAAAGAAGCCTGTATCACCCCCTTCTGGGAGATTCTGTCTAGAGCCCCCTGCTAGGAACACCTCTTGTCCTCTTACCATCTTACTATCCCATAGCTTGGCGATGGTCTTGACTGAATCCCCGGAAAGATCCAGCTGTGTCTCCTCCTGCACATCCTCGATCGCTGGCTCCTCTTCTTCCTCCCCATAGCTTCCTCCTTCCTCCTCTTCTGCTGCCTCTTCGAGATCAGCTAAGAGCTCATCTGCCAGAGACATCCCGAGGCCTGGGGAGGGACAGCAGCGTTCCCTAAAAACTTGCCCCGACAAAGTCCCTCCTTATTACTGAGCGATGATTCTCCCCCAGAAGACCCTGGTCCTTCTTTATCAACCCCACTAGCATGCAGGCTCCACGACAACAGGTGCTTTAGTTTGTTTTGTTCACTGGCGAGTCTCCAGCTCCGACCTGTGCAAGACGCAGCACACCCCTATGACCGCCACCTTGCTAAGACTTACTGGAACCAAGTGGTGTAGATTCCAAATGCATTTGCAAACTTTCTTATTCCTTTCTTGCCTTTAGCCTTGAAAACATACTTTGAAATTCTTTGTTTCCCTCCTTTCCCACTAGATACTGTCTTGCACTGCTGGCTTATCTATGTGCTTACTTAGAAGTTCCAGGGGCTAATCTTTATTTATTTATTTTTTAAAGATGGAGTCTGGCTCTGACACCCAGGTTGGAGTGCAGTGGCGCAGTCTTGGCTCACTTGCAACCTCCACCTCCTGGGTTCAAGCGATTCTCCTGCCTCAGCCTCCTGAGTAGCTGGGACTACAGGCACCTGCCACCATGCCCAGCTAATTTTTTTTTTTTTTTTTTGTAGAGTCAAGGTTTCACTATGTAAGCCAGGCTGGTCTTGAACTCTTGACCTCAAGTGAGCGACCCACCTTGGCCTCCCAAACTGTTGGGATTACAGGCGTAAGCCACCGCGCCTCGCCGCAGGGGCTAATCTTGAAACAAACTAGGTATGGAAACCCAGCTGCAAAACTCCAGAGATCACCTCAAGGCGATCAATCTACAACGTGGCCATTGTTGACTTGACACCAGCCCATGCTCCAGGTGGCCCGTGACTCAAGACAGCCTTCGGAGCAAGACACACATACCTTGTACCCAGCACCACTCCTGTATGCCTCCCATTCAAAGTTCCCCTTTTTAAGCCCCTCTCCCCAGCCTAAAGCTTGAAATGGTCTTCTAAAGACATTAGCTTGGCCATTTCTCATCTGCGAGCATTTGATCAGTAAAGCTGCTTTACTTTCACCACCCCCCACTTCCTCTGCCTCTGAGTAGCAGAAACTTGAGTTGGTTACATTATCGGTCTCTTCCCGCCTCCAGGTCTTTGTACAGGAGTCCCTTGTAACTAAAGTGGCCCTTTCCTTCACTTTGTTTTTTCTTTTCTTTTCTTTTTTTTGAGACCATGTCTTGCTCTGTCACCTAGGCTGCAGTGCAGTGGCGCCATCATAGCTCACGGCAGCCTCGATCACCTGGGCTCAAGCGATTCTCCCGCCTCAGCCTCCCGATAGCTGAGATGACAGGCACGCACCAGCACGCCCGGCTAATTTTTAAATTTTTCTGTAGAGACAGGGTCTCACTGTGTTGCTCAGGCTGGTCTCAAACTCCTGGGCTCAAGCGATCCTTTCGCCTGGGCCACCCAAAGTGCTGGGATTACAGGAGTGAGCCATGGCGTCTGGCTCTCCTCACTTCTTAGTAGCCCAGCATCTCCTCAGCCTTCAGCTCTCACGTTCCACCTCCCTGACCCACACGCCCCACTCTAGACTACAGGAGGTTGCTTTGTGATAACGTGTCCCGCACGCTCTGCGTGTCTACAGTAAGGCACTTCACACATTTGTGATTAATGAAGTAATTATTTGATAAAGCCTGTCTGCCAGGCATCAACCAAAGCTCTAAGAGGGTAGCGAACAATTTTTGCTCCTTCCACATCCCCAGGGCCACACCATGGTAGGCGCATATTAAGACTTTTGGGTAAACAGGCTGTAAAAGGCCGGGAGCGGTGGCTCATGCCTGTAATCCCAGCACTTTGGGAGGCCCAGGCGGGTGGATCATCTGAGGTCAGGAGTTGGAGACCAGCCTGGCCAACATAGTGAAACCCCGTCTCTACTAAAAATACAAAAAACTAGCCGGGCGTGGTGGTGCGCGCCTGTAATCCCAGCTACTCGGGAGGCTGAGGCAGGAGAATCGCTTGAATCCGGGAGGCGGAGGTTGCAGTGAACCGAGATCGCGCCACTGCACTCCAGCCTGGGCAACAAGAGCGAAACTCCGTCTCAGACAAAACAAACAAACAACTGGCCAGGCGCGGTGGATCATGCCTGTAATCACAGCACTTTGGGAGGCCGAGGCGGGCGGATCACGAGATCAGGAGTTCGAGACCAGCCTGACCAACATGGGGAAACCCCGTCTCTACTAAAAATACAAAAATTAGTCAGGGGTGGTGGCGGGCGCCTGTAATCCCAGCTACTCTGGAGGCTGAGGCAGAAGAATCGTTTGAACCCGGGAGACGGAGGTTGCAATGAGCCGAGATCGCGCCACTGCTCTCCAACCTGGGCAACAGAACGAGACTCCGTCTCAAAACAAACAAACAACAAAAAAACAAAAACCAAGCTGTAAAGACCCGCCTTTTTCCTCACACACTTCTTCTCCCAGACCCAGGAGCCCAGCCTCCCGCTCCCCGTGGTCTCCATCACACTCACCTCTCCTCTCCGCGCACCACTGTTTCTAGCGTTAGTCGCTCACCGATGACGTCTCACTCTCGCGCCGTTATAGAGGCAAAGCTACTCTCTGATTGGTCCCCGCTCGCGATGTTCCTGGCCGCATTTGAAACAACAACTTTATTAGCACCTGGCACTAGGCGGAGAGAGGCGGTAAGCCGCGAGGAGGAAAGGGACTCACGTCCCGCTGTGGACCGATCCTGCTAAGCAGAGAATCGCTGTGGCCGGACGACGGGGCGTCGAGACAAGAAGAAAGACGTTGGCAACTCAGAGGACTGGTTGCGGCGTTAGACAAGAAAGCAAGGCCTTTAAGCAGGGATTCGGGGTGGACGTGGGGGTGGGCCGAAGCGAAGCCGGAAACAGGAAACTACAACTCCCACAAGGCCTAGGGCCACGTCCCGCCGTCCTCGGCTGCTGAGCCTGATGGGACAAGTAGTTTTGCGAACGGCTTAACCTACAGATTGAAGAGGTCGGAAGCTCTGAGGCCCGGGGCTTCCGGAGGTCGCGGAGATGGAATTGGAGCAGAGAGAAGGGTATGTGGCTGAGCCCTTGTGAAAAAGTGCGAATCCCAGAAAACAGTGCAGCTGCATTGTGTGCAACCATATGAGCTTTTACGCTGAGGTCTGATGGGGGTTGTAGTTCATGCAACTGCTTTACCTTAGAACCCTTTTATGGACTGGGGTCATCCTGAGGGAGGAGAAGGTTAGGGGTTTGGACTGCTGGATCTGACAGACTAGGAGGTTGGAAGCCAGGACTCTTGCGTCTGGTTGAGGGTTGGGGCTTGGACTCCCTGGGTCCTTGGAGAGAAAAAGTCTGGAGGTCTGGACTCTTGCATCCTGGGAGGAGGGGGTCAGGGCTTGAACCCTGTGGGTGCTGCGAAGGGTGGGTTGCGGACTTGGACTTCTGGGTCTGAGGGAGGAGGGCTGGGAGCTGGATTCTACGGTCTGAGGGAGGAGGGGCTGGGGGCCTGGATTCTAGGATCTCAGGGAGGAGGGGTTGGGGTCTGGGCTCCTGGTTCAGTGGGAGAAGGGGCTGGGGGTCCAGGATCCAGGGCCCCTGAGCCTTTCCCTGCCTCTCAGGACCATGGCAGCCGTGGGCTTTGAGGAGTTCTCAGCGCCGCCAGGCTCAGAGTTGGCGTTGCCTCCCCTATTTGGTGGCCACATCCTGGAGAGCGAGCTGGAGACGGAAGTGGAGTTTGTGTCAGGTGGTCTGGGCGGCTCAGGGCTCCGGGAGCGAGATGAAGAGGAAGAGGCAGCCCGGGGTCGGCGGCGGCGCCAGCGGGAATTAAATCGCAGAAAGTACCAGGCACTAGGTCGGCGCTGCCGGGAGATCGAGCAGGTAGGTGAGTGCGGATCCCCCGGTTTTGGGGTCCCCTGGCCTAAACTACCGCCCCCCGCAATCTCTGCCTTTCCACATGCCCAGCCTTTCTTGGCTTGCTGATATATTCAGTCATTTAGCTTATATATTCAGTCATTTAGCATGCATTATGTGTCTGGCCCTGTGCCGGGCCCCTGGAAGGGCCATCTCCCGTGGAGCTTCCCTGACAACGCAGATGGGTTCTCTGATGTCTCCCGGGGGCCTCTCAATGCGTGGCACCGCTCACAGGTGAAAGCCCAAGCTCTTCACATCTCCCATACCCCTGCCAGGATTCACTCCTCTCGACTCATTCATTCCGCCTCTTGAGTGTCTCTGGACCCTTCTCCTCTCCTCCATCCCTATGGCTGCCATTGCAAACTCCAGCTGTCTGGGCTGAATGACTGCAATAGCCTCCTTGCTGAGAATAAGGATGGGCTGGGCATGGTGGCTCACGCTTGTAATCCTAGCACTGGGAGGCTGAGGCAGGCGGATCACCTGAGGTTAGGAGTTCGAGACCAGCCTGGCCAACATGGTGAAACCCCATCTCTACTAAAATACAAAAAAATTAGCCAGGTGTGGTGGTGCGCACCTGTAGTCGCAGCTACTAGGGAGGCTGAGGCATGAGAATTGCTTGAACCCGGAAGGCGGAGGTTGCAGTGAGCCAAGATCATGCTGCTGTACTCCAGCCTGGGTGACAGAGTGAGACTCCGTCTCAAAATCAATCAATCAATCAATGAGGATTAAACAGCAGGCAGGGCTCAGATCTTGGCAGGCCAGGAACACCAGGACAAGAAGTCTGGATATTTTTTTTTCCTTGAGAGTGAAGGAGCCACTGAAGGGTTTCAAATGGGGGAGGAACAGCATCAGGTCTGGATGCCTGAAACTCTGAAGACAGTTGTATTAGTCTGCTTGGACTCCCAGAACTTATCACAAATAGGGTCCCTCAAGCACAGAAATTCCTGTCTGACAGTTCTGGAGGCTAGACATCCAAGGCAAGGTGTCGACAGGGTTGTGAGAATCTTCCAGGCCTCTCCCCTGGCTTCTGGAGGTTTCTGGCAGTCATTGGCACGTACAAACATCACCCTGATCTCCGCCTTCATCTTCACATTGCTGCTCCCTGTGTGTGTGTCTGTGTCCCAATTTACCCTTTTTATAAGGACTCCAGTCATACTGGATTAGGGCCCACCCACTGGCTTCATTTGAACTTGATTACTTTTGTAACGACACTGTCTCCATATAAGGTGATCCTGAGGTACTGGGGGTTAAAGCCTCAACACCCTCTTTTGGGGGAAATAATTCAACTTTTTTTTTTTTTTTTTTTTTTTTTTTGAGGTGGAGTCTCGCTCTTGTCTCCCAGGCTGGAGTGCAATGGCACCATCTCAGCTCACTGTAACCTCCACCTCCTGGGTTCAAGTGATTCTCCTGACTCAGCCTCCCTAGTAGCTGGGATTACAGGCGCCCGCCACCACACCCAGCTAATTTTTCTATTTTTAGTAGAGACAGGGTTTCACCATGTTGGTCAGGCTGGTCTCAAACTCCTGACCTCAGGTGATCTGCCCACCTCAGCCTCCCAAGGTGCTGGGATTACAGGCTTGAGCCACCACGCCTGGCCTTCAACTCTTTTTCTCTTTCTTGAGACAGGTTCTCACTTTGTCACCAAAGCTGGAGTGCAGTGGCGCAATCTCAGCTCATTGCAGCCTCAGTCTCCCAGGTTCAAGCAGTCCTCCTGCCTCAGCCCCCAAAATAGCTGGGACTACAGGCACACACCACCACACCTGGCTAATTTTTGTACTTTTTGTAGAGATGGGGTTTTGCCATGTTGCCCAGGCTGGTCTTGAACTCCTGACCTCAAGTGATCCACTCGCCTTGACCTCCCAAAATGCTAGGATTACAGGCATGAGCCACCACATCTGGCCTCAATTCTTAATGACAGTATTGGGGAGTTCTGTAAGGAGGAAGGCTAGAGGCCAGGGGCATATTCCAAACCCTGTTTAACAGACAGACACCAAGGCCCAAACGGACTCAACTGGAGCCTCTGCCATTAATCCACCCCCAGGAATAGATTACTACTATTTTACAAGTATAGAAAATCAAGGCTCAGAGAGGTTAAGTAATGCACCCAAGCTCAGAGCTCAGCAGTGGCAGATCTGAGATTTTTTTTTTTTTTTGAGACAGGGTCTTTCTCTGTTGCCCAGGCTGGAGTGCAGTGGCATGACTGTGGCTCACTGCAGCCCCAACATCCTGGACTCTAGCAATCTCAGCCTCCGAAGGAGCTGGGACTACAGCCACCAAGCCCAGCTAATTTTTTTGGTTAGTTTTTGAGTGTTGGGGTCTCACTCTGTTGCCCAGGCTGGTGTCGAACTCCTGGCCTCTCAAAGTGCTGGGATTATAGGCATGAGCCACTGTGCCAAGCCAGAGCCAAAACTTGAACTCTTTTTTTTTAGATGGATTTTCGCTCTTGTTGTCCAGGCTGGAGTGCAATGCTGCAATCTCAGCTCACTGCAACCTCCGCCTCCTGGGTTCAAGCGATTCTCCTGCCTCAGCCTCCCGAGTAGCTGGGATTACAGGCATGCGCCACTACACCTGGCTAATTTTGTATTTTTAGTAGAGACAGGGTTTCACCACGTTAGGCTGGTCTCAAACTCCTGACCTCAGGTGATCCGCTCGCCTTGGCCTCTGAAAGTGCTGGGATTACAAGCGTGAGCCACCGTGCCTGGCACTTTTTTTTTTTTTTTTCTTTTGAGACAGAGTCTTACTCTGTCACCCAGGCTGGAGGGCAGTGGTGTGATCTCGGCTCACTGCAACCTCCAGCTCCTGGGTTCAAGCGATTCTCCTGCCTCAGCCTCCTGAGAAACTGGGATTACAGGCATGCGCCACCATACCCAGCTAATTTTTGTATTTTTCTTTTTTTTTTTTTTTTTTTAGTAGAGATGAGGTCTCATCATGTTGGCCGGGCTGGTCTGGAACTCCCGACCTCAAACTCTTGAGTAGCTGAGATTACAGGCATGTGCCACAACATCCGGCCAATTTTTGTATCTTTAGTAGAGACGGGGTTTCACCATGTTGGCCAGGCTGGTCTTGAACTCCTGACCTCAAGTGATCTGCCCGCCCCGGCCTCCCAAAGTGCTGGGATTACAGGCGTGAGCCACTGTGCCCCGCCCGGAACTCAGGTCTTTCTGACCCAGGAGCAGCACCTGCTTCAGCCACTGTCTTTGGGTCCCTGTTTGGCTGAGTCACATCTCTCCCTCCATGTCTAGGCTGGAGTCCTCAGAAGCTGCGTGCAGGGCTGTCCCCTCAGCCTGGCATACTTTCCTCCTGTCACCCCTTTGTCTCCTCCTTATTCAAGTCTGGGCCCACGGGCCTTCTCTGCAGGTCGTAACTAAAGTCGCACCTCCTGCCCTAACCTCCAGCATGTCTGACTCTTTGGTATTCACCAAGCACTTCTCACTTTGCAAAGTCATTGATTCTGCAAATGTTCATGGAGGATGTACTACGTGCCAGGCTCTGGTTAAGGCACGGGATGTAGAAACAAGTTGCTGTCGTTTTTCAGCTCATGCTCTGGCTGGAGAGGCGGTCAGTCAGCAGAATAAGCAAAGAGGCGGAGAGGCTGCGTCCTGCCTCCTCAGATGAGCACTAGGAGGAAATAAAGCCAGGAGTGAATGGCCGGGTGGGGTTCTGGCATGGGAAGGGGGGTCGGGTGTGTTGCAATTTTTTTTTTTGAAACAGAACCTCGCTCTGTTGCCCAGGCTGGAGTGCAGTGGGGTGATCTCAACTCACTTCACCCCTCCACCTCCCAGGTTCGTGCGACTATCCTGCAGGCACCTGCCACCACGCCCAGCTAATTTTTTGTATTTTTAGTAGAGATGGGGTTTCATCATGTTGGCCAGGCTGGTCTCGAACTCCTGACCTCAGGGGACCTACTCGCCTCGGCCTCCCAAAGTGCTGGGATTACAGGCGTGAGCCACCGCACCTGGCCTGGTGTGTTTCGACTTAATGGGAGGTTCAGGCTCTCTGAGCAGGTAACAGTTGACCTAAGACTTGGAGTGGGGAGTAAGTTGTGCGGATGACTGGGGAGAGGGTCCAGGTAGAGGAACAGCACGCGGAAGGCCCCCACTGGAGGGCACTCAGGACTGTGGCATGGTGAGAGGGGAGCCGGAGGGATGGGAAGGTGGAAGGACCTCAGGCCACGGGATGGTCTTTGGCCAGTCTCCAGAGTTTAGTGCGTGCCCCATTAAACATCCGTTAAACAAATGAACGGGAGCCGTGGGATCCAGCTGATGGGCGTTTCCCACCCCATAGGTGAACGAGCGGGTCCTGAACAGGCTCCATCAGGTGCAGAGGATAACTCGGAGGCTGCAGCAGGAACGGAGGTAACCCCTTCTCCGTCCCCTCTGGGCCTGTGAGCCTCAGCTCCCAAATGCTCCCAGCCCCTCTGTCTCTCCCACTTCCACATCCACCCAACCCTCACAAGCCACAAGGAGAAGCCGGAGATGAGGGCCGGGGGCTGAGGCAAACAAGGAGGAAGAGTGGGATTCGGTGTTGGAGGAGAGGGCTGAGCACTGGGACTGAGGGAGGGCCGGGTGGAGAGGGCTGAGCACTGGGACTGAGGGAGGGCCGGGTGGAAGGGGCTGTGCGCTGGGACTGAGGGAGGGCCGGGTGGAGAGGGCTGAGCACTGGGACTGAGGGAGGGCCGGGTGGAGGGCCTCCTCCCCCTGAAGGGAGGGAACAGCAGGATGGAAGGCACACGAGCACAGACCTGACTGCAAGTATTTTCTTTTTTTTTTGCTGTGTGACTCTAAGCAAGCAGTGTCCCTTCTCTGAGCTGTTTCCTATCAACTAAGGGCAGCACCAATATCATGAGGCTGCGGCAGGGTTGTCGGAGCTTGCAGGTGGTGAGCTGAGCTCAGAGCTTCCCACTGTGTGTCTCCACAGAACCTGCCCAGGTGGCTGCTGCCCCTGCCACTCGCAGTGTCCCTGTACCAGCAAAACTGGAGCAAGTTTTGTAGGAATGGCTCCACGTTGCTGAGTCAACCACAGTTCTCATCTCAGTCCTTGGCTCAGGCTCGGCACAGTGGCCCAGGGCTATGTGCTCTTCCCTGGAGCCCATTCTTGCCATCCTGGGCACCCAGCAACCTGGGGTCTCCTGCCTTTCCGGCTGTTCCTTCTTGGCTGCCTTTGCTAGTTCATCCTCCCTCCCCAAAGCTGAAACCTGCGGCTCCCAGGGTTCCTCTGTCCGTACCTGTGCTGTCCAGCACGGTAGCCGCTGGCCACAGGTGAGATTTTCACTTAAGTTGAAATAGGCCGGGCGCAGTGGCTCATCATGCCTGTAATCCCAGCACTTTGGGAGGCCGAGGCAGGCGGATCACGAGGTCAGGAGATCGGGACCATCCTGGCTAACACGGTGAAACTCCGTCTCTACTAAAAATACAAAAAAATTAGCCGGGTGTAGTGGCAGGCGCCTGTAGTCCCAGCTACTCGGGAGGCTGAGGCAGGAGAATCGCTGGTACCAGGGAGGTGGAGGTTGTGGTGAGCCAAATTCACGCCACTGCACTCCAGCCTGGGTGACAGAGTGAGATTCCGTCGCAAAACAACAACAACAAACCTGCCCAGGTGCTGGTGCAGAGGAGGCATTCCATCAATTGAACCTTAAGGAACTCTGGAGGCAGGGGCTGGGGAAAAAAGAGAAGGGGGTGTTTATAAGAGGTGAGGTCATTAGGAGGAGCGTTCTGTACTCCCCTCTCTTCAGTTATCAATAAAAATTATAACTCACATATGAATGTTTACTAAGTGCTGACATCACATTAAGTACAGAAATCGTCTGGTGTCACTACTTCAGTGTCACCGCTGCAACATCCAGCCGAGGGTGTCATGTCGTTTGCAGAGCAGGAAACTCAGCCTCAGAATGGTTGCCTTGTCTTGCTCGAGGTCTCAAGGCTGGTCAAGGGCATGGCTCCCAGGCCTCCAGTGCCAGAGCTCAGGACCGTCTGGCTCCAGGACAGCTTTGGCGTTGAGTGGAGTGGGAGCTGAGCTCTATCCTGTGGCCCTTTTCCCCAGCCGCTAGGAGATAAGTTATTCCGTTGGTGGCTTCTCCCCCTGAGCAGGTTCCTCATGAGAGTGCTGGACTCCTACGGGGATGACTACCGGGCCAGCCAGTTCACCATTGTGCTGGAGGTGAGTGTTGGGCCTCCAGGAGGGTCAGGAACTGGGAGCTCAGGACCCACCCATCACCTACCTCCCCCTCCTGCCTGCCAGGATGAGGGCAGCCAGGGCACGGATGCCCCCACCCCAGGCAATGCGGAGAATGAGCCTCCAGAGAAAGAGACACTGTCCCCGCCCAGAAGGACTCCTGCACCCCCAGAACCCGGCAGCCCAGCCCCCGGTGAGGGGCCCAGTGGGCGGAAGAGGCGGCGAGTGCCACGGGATGGACGCCGAGCAGGAAATGCGCTGACTCCAGAGCTGGCCCCGGTGCAGGTGAGGAAGGCGGGAACTCAAGGGGAGGGACTGGGGCTCCAGAGCCGGCGCCAGTGCAGGTAAGGAGGGGGGACTCAAGGGGAGGGGCCAGGGCTGGGGCTGAGTTAGGTTCAGGGCTCTTGGGTTTTGGTTCTGCACCCCGAGGGGCCCAGGGCTGGGGAAAGTTGGAGAAGGGAGGTGAACCAGGACATGTTGGAGGCCTAGGATCAGGCAGGGAAGTAGTTGGAAAAAGTGGGGTAAAGGCTTGGGTAAAAAGGAGGCAAAGTTGGAAAGGGAAAGAGGAAGACCTGGAGAAGGAAAAATAGCTAGAGAAGGCTGGGAGTAGAGGAGAAGGAAGGATCAGAGAAGACGGAGTGGAAGGGAAGGCCCAGTGTGGGGAGGAAAGCTGGAAGAACATCTGGACCCAGGAACACTGGGATTGCCTCTGAGGTGTAAGGAGGAAGGTGACTGGCCTGGGCAGACAAGAACTGTGAGGCTGGCCAGGTGCAGTGGCTCATGCCTGTAATCCCGGCACTTTGGGAGGCCTAGGTGGGAGGATCACTTGAGGCCAGGAGTCTGAGACCTGCCTGAGCAACATACTGAGACCCCATCTCTACCAAAAAGAAAAAACATGTTAGGCTTGGTTGGCAAGTGCCTGTAGTCCCAGCTACTTGGGAAGCTGAGGTGGGAGGATCACTTGAGCCTGGGAGGCAGAGGCTGCAGTGAACTATGATGGCACCACTGCACTCCAGCCTGGGCAACAGAGTGAGACCCTGTCTCTTTAAAAAGCAAAACAAAATGAAAACAAAAATGGTGAAGCTGATGGGATTTTCTAGATTCCCAGGCCTGTTAACACCTTGTTCCTTATCTCCTGCAGATTAAGGTTGAGGAAGACTTTGGCTTTGAAGCAGATGAGGCCCTGGATTCCAGTTGGGTTTCTCGGGGTCCAGACAAACTGCTGCCCTACCCGACCCTGGCCAGCCCAGCCTCTGACTGACGCATGCCCAATAAACTGACCCCACACTCACCCCGGCCACCGTCTACTTGTTCCCACCTCTGATCACACACATGCTCACGTTCGGGGGTTGGTTTTCACATTTTTATTGGGAGCCGTGGGAGGGGCCGCCTCTGTCAGTGGAGGTGCTCACAGTTTCTTCAGCCACTCCAGGCTGGGGCCCTGAGGGTCCTGGGGGTGGCTGGGCACGTCGGGCATGTTCCCATCATCACGGACGGGCACTGTGGGGCAGGAGGTGGGCCACTGAGACCAGCACGTCTCCAGGGCCCTGGAGAGAAGAGCTGGTCTGTCGCTTTATGTTCAGAGAGGGAAGGGGGACCCCAGGGGTGAGAGGGGAAGGGTCAGAGAATCAGTGATGCAGAAAGAGGCGGGAAATACAGAGACTGAGAGACACGGAAAACCAGAGAGATAGCGAGGGAGAGATCCCGCGCACTAGAGAGCTAGGGTCAAAAGAGATGGGGAAACAGGACAGAAACCTGAGAAGATGGAGACCAAGAAACCACCACAGATGGGAACCCAGAGAGAGACAGAAATCTGGAAAGGTAATAGAAACTCGAAGCACAGGCCAGGCGCGGTGGCTCACACCTGTAATCCCAGCACTTTGGGAGGCCGAGGTGAGTGGATCACAAGGTCAGGAGATCGAGACAATCCTGGCTAACACGGTGAAACCCCGCCTCTACTAAAAAAATACGAAAAAGTTTGCGTGTCGTGGTGGCGGGCACCTGTAGTCCCAGCTACTCGGGAGGCTGAGCTTGCAGTGAGCTGAGATCGCGCCACTGCACTCCAGCCTTGGCGACAGAGCGAGACTCTGTCTCAAAAAAACCCAAAAAAACAAAAACGAAGCACAAACACAGAATAGTATACGAATTATATCTCAATTCTTAAAAAATGGAACGGGGGGTCCGGGCACCACTGCAGAATCTCTGATAACTGCTTAGGAAAGACCTGCCCATAACTGCCCTTACGCCAGCACAGGGAGGCTGGGCCTATTCCGGGGATCCCTGCCTGGCCCCCACTCACCTGGGTAGTTGTAGGGCGTGGCCTTGTTGATCATGACGGAGTACTTGAAGTAGGGGCTCAATGGGGGCAGAATTACAGCTGTGGAGAGACACAGGGGTGAGGCCCAGGGGAAGGTGGCTCTGAAGAGAGGGGAAGAGAAGGTGAGCCTTGGCAAAGGGAAGATAAAGTGCGCAGGGGGAGGGCAGCAGGGAGGGCCAGCACGTCCAGGAGGATCCTTGGTACCTTGGGATCCCTACTTATAGACAGGAGGGTTTAAAACTCTTTTTTGGGGGGTTAAGTGGAGGTAGGGGTTGGAGCCTAACACTCACAGATACGTGGGGCCTGGAGGAGGCAGCAGTGGGGTTGGTCATGGAATGAGCACGTTTGAGTGTAGGGTCATCATGGAGCATCCTGGGGGTAGTGTCATGGGACTGTTCTGGAGAAATCAAGACTGTTACAAATTTGGCCGGGCACAGTGGCTCAAGCCTGTAATCCCAGCACTTTGGGCGGCCAATGTGGGCGGATCACCTGAGGTCAGGAGTTCGCGACCAGCCTGGACAACATGATGAAACCCCATCTCTACTAAAGATACGAAAATTAGCCGGGCGTGGTGGCAGGAGCCTGTAATCCCAGCTACTCAGGAGGCTGAGGCAGAAGAATCCCTTGAGCCTGGGAGGCAGAGGTTGCAGTGAGCCCAGATTGTGCCATTGCACTCCAGCCTGGGCAACAGAGAGAGACTCCATCACCAAAAAAAAAAAAAAAAAAAAGCCTTACAAACTGGAGGAGAAAGGGTTGCACAAACAACAGTCACTGACCACAGTCCATTTAGGGTGGGAGCCAGGAGTCCTGGGGGATGGGGTACAGTTCATAAAAGGAATGTTCTAGGCCAGTGCTGTCTGACAGATGGTAAGAGCCAGGTATATAATTTTATATCTTCTAGTAGCTACAGTAAAAATAAGAGATACAGATGAAACAAATTTTAAGAAACATACTTGGATGGGCGAGGTGGCTCATGCCTATAATCCCAGGACTTTAGGAGGCTGAGACGGGTGGATCACCTGAGGTCAGGAGTTCGAGACCAGCCTGACCAATATGATGAAACCCCGTCTCTACTGAAAATACAAAAACAGCCAGGTGTAGTGGCATGCGCCTGTAATCCCAGCTACTAAGGAGGCTGAGACAGGAGAATCGCTTGAACCCGGGAGGCGGAGGTTGCAGTGAGCCGAGATCAGGCCATTGCACTCTAGCCTGGACAAAAGCGAAACTCCGTCTCAAAAAAACAAAAACAAACAAACAAAAAAAACCATAGTACATCCAAAACATCACTTCGCCATGTAATCAACAAAAGATTATTGGTAGTTTACACACTCTGTTATACTAAGTTTTTGAAATCCAGTGTCTTATACCACCTCAATTCATACCAGCACCACTTCAAATGCTCAGTGGCCAGTTGTGGCTGGTGGCTGCCATACTGAATAAGTGTTCAGAACCTTAACCTAGTGCCTGGCTGGTGGACCAGCAGTACTGACAAGACCTGGGAACTCTTCAAAAATGCAGAATCCCATGCCCCACCCCAGACCTACAGAATCAGAACCTACAGTTTGGCCGGGCGCAGTGGCTCACCCCTGTAATCCCAGCACTTTGGGAAGGCAGATCACTTGCGGTCAGGAGTTCAAGACCAGCCTGGCCAACATGGTGAAACCTTGTCTCTACTAAAAATACAAAAATTAGCCGGGCGTGGTGGTGCTCGCCTGTAATCCCAGCTACTTGGGAGGCGGAGGCAGGAGAATCACTTGAACCCTAGAGGCGGAGGTTGCAGTGAGCCATGATCAAACCATTGCACTGTAGCCTGGAAGACAGAGCGAGACGCCATCTCAAAAAAAAAAAAAAAAAAAAGCTGGCCGGGCGCGGTGGCTCACGCCTGTAATCCCAGCACTTTGGGAGACCGAGTTGGGAGGATCACGAGGTTAGGAGATCGAGACCATCCTGGCTAACACGGTGAAACCCCGTCTCTATTGAACATACAAAAAATTAGCCGGGCATGGGGGCGGGCGCCTGTAGTCCCAGCTACTCGGGAGGCTGAGGCAGGAGAATGGCGTGAACCCGGAAGGCGGGGCTTGCACTGAACCGAGATCGCGCCACTGCACTCCAGCCTGGGCGACAGAGCGAGACTCAGTCTCAAAAACAAAAACAAAAAATTAGCTGGGCGCCTGTAATCCCAGCTACTCGGGAGGCTGAGGCAGGAGAATCCCTTGAACCCAGGAGGCCGAGGTTGCAGTGAGCCGGGATCGCGCCACTGCACTTCAGCCTGGGTGAGAGTGAGACTCCATCGCAAAAAAAAAAGCTACATTTTAACAATCCCCCGCCCCCATCCCTGCAGGAACTCCGGTGCTAATTAAAGTGTGAGTAGGGCAGTTCCAGGGCAGAGGGCAGAGATTTTCAATCAGCAAGGCACATTGGGATCATACGGGGATTTTCACAAGACACAGATTCCCCAGTCCCACCTCCACCCAAGCCAACTCAATTCAGAATGGGGGAGAGGAAAGATGAAAAGGAGGAGGAGGATCTGGACTTTTTTTTGGTGCTCAGGTGTTAAGGCATAAGCAGGGTTGAGAACGTCTCATTTAGAGGGGTTAAGAGCGTATTGGGTAGGTGGAGAGGAACGCGGGGGGCGATGGTGGAGAGGTTATAATGGGTATGGGGATAGATAAGGGGATGCCGTGGGGGTGCAGACACACTAGAGGGGACCCGAGGGCGGCGATAGGGCTTTAGGGGTACAAGATGGAGGGATGTAGGGGGACGGGGGTGGACGATGCAAGTTTGCGCCTGGAGCACTCACGCACCGAGGCCCCCGACGACGAAGGACACGACCAGCACTGGCTCCTTGTCCCAGGCATTCTTGAGGAAGGCGCCGACTCCTGAAGGGGTGGCAAGAAGCGTCACCCCTGCAAGTAGCTGCCCCCGGTGACCTCTAACCCTCTCGTGCCACCCCTGCCCTGGAGGAGCCCCCTCGTGACTTCTGCGTTCCCCTCCAGCACGGACCCCATCGCTTCCACCCCTGCCCTGCCGCACCTCAGTCCCAGGACCGCCCAGAGGTTCCCAGAACTACCCGAGCCCCGTGCGCCACCGGAACCTGCACTTACTCGCAGCCATCTTTGTCTCCGCGGCGGCGACAGCGGCGAGGACGCGGAGCACCCTGGGAGTTGTGGTCCCTATGCGCGAGAACCCGCTCCCAGGGCTGCGCGTGCGCCCTGGAGCACAAGTAGAGGCGAAAGCAAGGACGCGGAGCACTCTGGGAGTTGTGGTCCCTCTGTGCGACGGCCCGCTTTCGGAGCCTGCGCGTGCGCACTCGCGCAGAACAAAGATGGAGCCGTGGAGGTAAAGGAAGTGGTGTCAGGAGCAAGCGCAAGCCTGACTTTGCGGACCTGCGTGGAATCTCCTTAGTCTCAGCCTAGAAGTCGCTCCGGAGTGACTAGTCCTCCTGCTGCGACCCACCTAAGGCGGAACAAAATAGTCCCCATTTTATAGTTTATGTATGAAAGCCCATTTTACAGACGAAGAAACTGAGCCCGGGAGAAGGTGAATGACTAACCTGTCCTTCGAGGTCTCAGCTCAACATCGGCTCGTCCTGGAAGCGCTAGGTCTCATCCCAGATGGGTTAGGAGCTTTCTGCGGGCTCTCACAGTGCTCTGTTACCGCCATTATAGCTCAGATCACTTAAGAAACTGACCTGGTCTGGGCCGGGCGCGGTGGCTCACGCCTGTAATCCCAGCACTTTGGGAGGCCGAGGCGGGCGGATCACGAGGTCAGGAGATCTAGACCATCCTGGCTAACATGGTGAAACCCTGTCTCTACTTAAAAATACAACACAAATTAGCCGGGCGTGGTGGTGGGCGCCCGTAGTCCCAGCTACTGGGGAGGCTAAGGCAGGAGAATGGCGTGAACCCGGGAGGCGGAGCTTGCAGTGAGCCGAGATCACACCACTGCACTCCAGCCTGGGCGACAGAGCGAGACTCCGTCTCAAAAAAAAAGGAAACTGACCTGGTCTTGGTCTTTCAGTCGGACTGGTAGCTGCTGCTTGAGAGCAGTAACGGAGTCTGAGTTCCCTCTGTGCCTGCCAACATGGCACAGCGAGGGTCTGGCACGTAATAGGTTCTAATTTTTTTTTTTTTCTTCTGAGATTGAGTCTAGCTCTGTCGCCCAGGCTGGAGTGCAATGGCGCGATCTCGGCTCACAGCAACCTCCGACTCCCGAGTTCAAGCGATTCTCCTGCCTCAGCCTCCTGAATAGCTGGGATTACAGGCGCGCGCCTCCACAGCCGGCTAATTTTTCTTTTTTAGGAGAGACGGGGGTTTCTCCATGTTGGTCAGGCTGGTCTCGAACTTCCCGATCTCAGGTGATCCACCCGCCTTGGCCTCCCAAAGTGCTGGGATTACAGGCGTGAACAACCGCGCCCGGCCTAGAGGGGCTAATTTTTATCTATCTATCTATCTATCTATCTATCTATCTATCTATCTAACACAGTATCACACCAAGAGCCTGGCACATAATAGGTGCTAATTTTTCTCTGTCAACCAATCTATCAATCGATCAATTAATCACAGCAAGGGCCTGGCACATAATTGGTGTTAATTTTTATCTATCCATCAATCAATCACAGCAAGGGCCTGGCACTTAACAGGTGCTAATTTTTATCTATCTATCTATCTATCTATCTATCTATCCATCCATCCATCTATCTATCTTTCAATCACAGCAAGGGCCTGGCACATAATAGGTGCAAATTTTTATCTATCTGTCAATCAATGACAGCAAGAGTCTGGCACATAATAGGTTCTTATTTTTAAAACAGACAGATATCTTTCTATCTGTCTATCTATATTTAAAGACATGGTCTCACTCTATCACCCAGGCTGGAGTGCAGTGGCACAATTTATTTATTTTTTAGACAGGGTCTCGCTCTGTTGCCCAGGCTGCTCTTGAACTCTTGGGCTCAAGCGATCCTCCTGCCTCCACCTCCTGACTAGTATTTGTTTCTAGAGTTAAATAAATGAACACCACAGGTTATGACTGAACCCCCTGCTAATTTTTCCACAGTGCCATAGGGCTATGACACAGTCACCCACAGGCCCCCACCTCGATACTCTCTTCCGTAAATGAGGATCTGGGTCTGGTTTTCTGATGTTGCCTCATTTCCTGGGAGGGGAGAGGGTGCGACCAAGCCCTGGCTCCAGCTCTAGCGGGTATCTGCCCACCATGGCCCTGGTGCTGATCCTCCAGCTGCTGACCCTCTGTGAGTCACCCCTTTCTTCTCCCTGGGTTCCTGGCTGGGGTTGGGGGCAGAGAGAGAGGCAATGGAGACCCAGACACCCTGCAGGGGGACCAGGCAGCAGGTTTGGGATTCTAGGTTCAAATAAAGAACAGGGCTGGGGCCCAGACCCCTGGGTCCTAAAGCAAGAGAACACAGATTCCCGAAAGAGGAAGGAGGTGGGGACAGGTATCTCTGGTTCTTGAGGCAGGAAGAGGTCAGGAGACAGGGAGGACTCCCAGATTCTTATATGGGAGGGGGATGGAAGCCAGGACTCCTGATTCCCTGGGAAAAGGGGGCTGGGAACAGGGCTCTTAGCTCCTGAGAGAAGAGGGAAATGGGGACCCAGATTCCTGAACTCGTGAGAGGAGAAACTCTACGATCATTGTTCCCTGGAAAGGTGGAGTTCAAGGGCCTGAACTCTTGGTTGCCCAGGCCAGAGGGGTCTGCGTTCAGACTTCTTCGGTAGGTGGGCAATGGATGTCCAAATTTCTGCCTACTGAGACAGGAGGAGGGAGGGATAAGATTCTCATTTCCCAGAGGAGATAGGAGCTGGGAACTCAGATTCCTGGGTTACCAATGAGATGGGGCTGGCCACAAAGGGTTTTGAAAAGAACTCGCTGTTGGGCGCAGCGGCTCATGCCTGTGGGAGCCGAGGCCCAGCACTTTGGGAGGCCGAGGCGGGTGGATCACCTGAGGACAGGAGTTCAAGACCAGCCTGACCAACATGGCGAAACCCCTCTCTACTAAAAATACAAAGATTAGCCTGGTGTGGTGGCGGGCACTTGTAGTCCCAGCTACTACGGAGGCTGAGGCAGGAGAATCACTTGAACCTGGGAGGCAGAGGTTGCAGTGAGCTGAGATCACACCACTACACTCCAGCCTGGGCGACAGAGTGAGAGTCTGCCTCAGACAAAAAAAAAAAAAGGAAAAAGAAACTAGTCCCTCAACCTCCTACAGGGCCTCTGTGTCACACAGACATCACTCCGTCTGGTGAGTAGCCACCCCATCCACTCTCCTTTTGTTGCTGACACCCCTTTTCCAATTACTCAGATTTTATTTTGGTGCCCAATCCCATCCCAGATATCCTTATTTTCCTCCCTCCCTCCATTCCTTCCTTCTTTTCTCATTCCCCTTAGTGGCCATTATAGGTGAGTACTGAAGACCAGGAACTTCTGAGGCAGAGGCCTAAGCTAGGACCTCAGTTTCACCATCGTATTCATTTATATGTGACCATATGACCTAGAACAAGTCACAGCTTGCTAAGACTCCATTTCCTTCTCTGTAAAATGGGCCGCTGTGAGATCTCATCAAATCACATGTGCAAAACCCTGAGCCTGGCACAGTACAGGGCTTAAGAAATAGGATCTTGGGCTGGGCGCAATGGCCAACGTCTGTAATCCCAGCACTTTGGGAGGCAGAGGCGGGCGGATCACAAGGTCAGATCGAGATCATCCTGGCTAATGTGGTGAAACCCCGTCTCTACTAAAAAAAAAAAAAAAAAAAAAAAAAAATTAGCCGGGTGTGGTGGGACGCACCTGTAATCCCAGCTACTCAGGAGGCTGAGGCAAGAGAATCGCTTGAACCCAGGAGGCAGAGGTTGCAGTAAGCTGAGATCGCGCCACTGCACTCCAGCCTGGGTGACAGTGCAAGACTCCACTTCAAAAACAAACAAACAAACAAACAAACAAAAACTCTTTTGGAGATATTTCAGTGTCGCTATAGCTATCTCTACCTATTTATTTTATTTATTTATTTATTTATTTTGAGACCAGTTTCTCTCTGTCGCCCAGGCCGGAGTGCAGTGGTGCAATCTCGGCTCACTGCAACCACCTCCTGGGTTCAAGGGATTCTCCTGCCTCAGCCTCCTGAGTAGCTGGGACTACAGGCACACACCACAATGCCCGGATAATTTTTGTATTTTTAGTAGAGACAGGGTTTCCCCATGTTGGTCAGGCTGGTCTGGAACTCCTGACCTCAGGTGATCCCTCTGCCTCAGCCTCCCAAAGTGTTGGGATTACAAACATGAGCCCCCTCACCCGACCCTTATTTTTATTCATTTTTAGAGATGGGGTCTCATTGTGTCACCCGGGCTGGAGTACGGTGGCTCTATCATAGCTCACTGCAGCTTTGAATTCCTGGGCTCAGACAATCCTCCAGCCTCAGCCTCCCAAAGTGCATGCCACCATGGAGTTCTCACTCTGTTGCCCAGGCTGGAGTGCAGTGGCATGATCTCAGCTAACTGCAGCCTCCGACTCTAGGGTTCAAGTAATTCTCCTACTCAGCATCCCAAACAGCTGGAACTACAAGCTAGCACTACCACGCCTGGCTAATTTTTCTGTTTTTAGTAGAGATGGGATTTTACCATGTTGGTCAGGCTGGTCTTGAACTCCTGACCTCAGGTGATGCACCCACCTTGGCCTCCCAAAGTGCTGGGATTACAGCTGTGAGCCACCGGACCCAACAGCCTTCCTGTACTCTTAATTTGTGTGATTTGTGAATAAGTGATATCTGCCAGTACTATCATTTGTCCTCCAGTTTTGTCTTTTAGCATACACAACTTAAGAAATTTGAAGTGGTCAAATTAATTAATCTTCCATACAACTTTTTATTTTATATTTTAAGAAGCCTTCCTTACCCCAAGACAAATATATTTTCCTATAGTTTTTTGAATACTTTTATAGTTTAAAAAAAAAGAAACACAGGGTCTTTAATTAATCTGGAAGTTGTTTTGGGAAATGGTATGAGGTAGGGATCCAACATTTTTCTTTTCCAAATAGCAAGTTTTGGCAACTCTTGAAATACTATATTGCAAATATTCTGGAAAGCTATTTAAAATTAGAGTTCTGGCTGGGCGTGGTGGCTCACACCTGTAATCCCAGCACTTTGGGAGGCCGAGGTGGGAGGATTGCTCGAGCCCAAGAGTTCAAGAGTAGCCTGGGCAATATAGCGAATGCTCGTCTCTACTAAAAATTAAAAAAAAAAAATTAGCCTGGTGTAGTGGCATGTGCCTGTGGTCCCAGGTACTCAGGAGGCTGAGGTGGAGGACTGTTTGAGCCCAAGAGATTGAGGCTGCAGTGAGTTGAGAACATGCCACTGCACTCCTGCCTGAGCAACACAGCAAGACCCTGCCTCAAAAAAAAAAAAAAAAAAAAAAAAAGTCTGGGTGTGGTGGCACAAGCTTGTAAACTTAGCACTTTGGGAGGCCGAGGTGGGAGGATTGCTTGAGGCCAGTAGTTTAAGACCAACCTGCTCAACATAGGGAGACCGCCCCCTCCCATCTCATTACTTAAAAATAATAATAATAATAAAATTACAGAGTTCTGGGACCTGACCTTTTGAAACTGTGTTTACAAACTGTGGAGTAAAGCTCAGAAGTTTCTGTCCTGCCCCTCTGATTTGCACCTGGTTTTAACAAGGCTTGATTGTAGTCCAGTCTCTCCCTGATTTTACAAACAGGAAACTGAGGCTAAGAAAGGGGCAGTAATTGTCCAAGGTGATTTTCCTCCTTCCCCAACTTCCCTTTCATCTTCTGGGGCTCCCAGGAGGCCCGAGGACCCAGGCAGCCCCGTTTATTCAGTCCCCCCAGCTTCATACCACCCTAAGCCATGGCTGGGAGCTCAGCCGGCTACAGTTGTGACCCCTGGGGTCAACGTGACCTTGAGATGCCGGGCACCCCAACCCGCTTGGAGATTTGGACTTTTCAAGCCTGGAGAGATCGCTCCCCTTCTCTTCCGGGATGTGTCCTCCGAGCTGGCAGAATTCTTTCTGGAGGAGGTGACTCCAGCCCAAGGGGGAATTTACCGCTGCTGCTACCGAAGGCCAGACTGGGGGCCGGGTGTCTGGTCCCAGCCCAGCGATGTCCTGGAGCTGCTGGTGACAGGTGAGGTCCTGGGGTCGGGGAGGAGAAGTGGGTGGAACAAGGGAGTTGGGGGAGGGACAGAGAGATATAGGGAAAGAGAGACAGAGCGAGGCGGGCAAACAGATTCACAGACACAAGAAAAGACAGATACAGAGACACTAGGGGGAGAGAGAGAGACAGGGGAGCAGAGAGAGAGAGACAGGGGAGCAGAGAGAGAGAGAGGTACAGTGCGGGGGGAGAGAGAGAGAAAGAGGCAGAAGGAGAAAGGGAGGCAGAGAGAGAGGGAGGCAGAGAGAGAGGGAGGCAGAAAGAGAGGGAGGCAGAGAGAGAGGCAGGCAGAGAGAGAGGCAGGCAGAGAGAGAGGGAGGCAGAGAGAGAGGGAGGCAGAGAGAGAGGGAGGCAGAGAGAGAGGGAGGCAGAGAGAGAGGGAGGCAGAGAGAGGGAGGCAGAGAGAGAGGCAGGCAAAGAGAGAGGCAGGCAGAGAGAGAGGGAGGCAGAGAGAGAGGGAGGCAGAGAGAGAGGGAGGCAGAGAGAGAGGGAGGCAGAGAGAGAGGGAGGCAGAGAGAGGGAGGCAGAGAGAGAGGGAGGCAGAGAGAGAGGCAGACAGAGAGAGAGACAGGCAGAGAGAAAGAGAGGCAGAAAGAGAGAGAGAGGCACAGAGAAAGCGAGAGACAGAGGAGAAGGAGAAACAGAGCGAGCGAGCGAGCGGAAGACGCTCACGCGGCCCCGGACTCTCACCCCGTCTCTGCAGAGGAGCTGCCGCGGCCGTCGCTGGTGGCGCTGCCCGGGCCGGTGGTGGGTCCTGGCGCCAACGTGAGCCTGCGCTGCGCGGGCCGCCTGCGGAACATGAGCTTCGTGCTGTACCGCGAGGGCGTGGCGGCCCCGCTGCAGTACCGCCACTCCGCGCAGCCCTGGGCCGACTTCACGCTGCTGGGCGCCCGCGCCCCCGGCACCTACAGCTGCTACTATCACACGCCCTCCGCGCCCTACGTGCTGTCGCAGCGCAGCGAGGTGCTGGTCATCAGCTGGGAAGGTGAGGGCCCTGAGGCCCGGCCCGCCTCCTCCGCCCCAGGAATGCAGGCCCCAGGACCTCCGCCCTCAGACCCAGGAGCCCAGGCCCCCAGCCTCTCCTCCTTCAGACCCAGGGGTCTAGTCCTGCAGCCCCTCCTCCCTCAGACCCAGGATTCCTGGGACCCAGCCCCTCCTCCCTCAGATCCAGGAGTCTAGTCCTCCAGCTCCTCCTCCCTCAGACCCAGGATTCCCGGGCCCCAGTACCTCCTCCCTCAGACCCAGGACTCCAGGCCCCCAGCCCCTCCTTCCTGGACCCAGGACTCCAGGCCCCCAGCCCCTCCTTCCTGATCCAGCAGTCCAGGCCCCAGCCCCTTCTTCCTGGACCCAGGAGTTGAAGCCTCCATCGACTCCCCCTCAACTTTGAGACTGTAGAGTCAGGTCCCTAAGTCCACCCCAGGGGCTGGAAACCTGGAGTTCAGGGCCCAGACTTTGGGGTCCGGGAGCTGATGGCCCCTCTCTCCCGGCTCCGCCCGCAGACTCTGGCTCCTCCGACTACACCCGGGGGAACCTAGTCCGCCTGGGGCTGGCCGGGCTGGTCCTCATCTCCCTGGGCGCGCTGGTCACTTTTGACTGGCGCAGTCAGAACCGCGCTCCTGCTGGTATCCGCCCCTGAGCCCCAGGAGCACTGCAGCCCGAGACTTCCAACCTGAGTGGCGGAGAAGCTGGGACCCTGGGCTGGACTGTCCTTTCCTGCAGCCCCACAGTCCTGCTGGCTGAGCTCCGCGGAACGGTCCTTAGACCCCGCTGTGCCCTGTGCTGTAGCTTCTTTCCAGGCCTTTCCCAAGGAGTAGCTGAAAGGAAGACGCGATTAGTGGTTAAGACTTCCAAGCCAGAAGACAGAGGGTTCGAATCCCAGCACTGCCGTCTACTCACTGTAGTAGTAGCAGCTACAGAAAGGTAGTAGTGAGACGTGAAGCCAGCTGGACTTCCTGGGTTGAATGGGGACCTGGAGAACTTTTCTGTCTTACAAGAGGATTGTAAAATGGACCAATCAGCACTCTGTAAGATGGACCAATCAGCGCTCTGTAAAATGGACCAATCAGCAGGACATGGGCGGGGACAATAAGGGAATAAAAGCTGGCGAGCGCGGCACCCCACCAGAGTCTGCTTCCACGCTGTGGGAGCTTTGTTCTCTTGCTCTACACAATAAATCTTGCTGCTGCTAACTCTTTAGGTCCGTGCCATCTTTAAGCGCTGTAACACTCACCACGAAGGTCCCTGGCTCCATTCTTAAAGTCAGCGAGACCACAAACCCACAGGAAGGAACCAACTCTGGACACGGTAGCAGCATTCAGAAAGCGCCCTTCCCCAACTCTCTCTTGCCTTGACGGTAAAATGGATGCACTGATAAAACCCACTTCATAGGATTGTTGTAGGATTCAGTGGGTAATACACATAAAACATTTAAAGCAGTAACTGGCCCGTAGTAAGTGTTCAATAAATGTTAGCTACCCTGTAACACCGATTTCTACCAGACTCAGTGCCGAAAGGAAGGTCTCACCTTTTTGCCATCAAGCATAATCAAGCACGACTTTTTCTTTCTTTCTTTCTTTTTTTTTTTTGAGAGAAGATCTCACTCCACCCAGGCTGGAGTGCAGTGGCGTGATCTCGGTTCACTGCAACATCCGCCTCCCGGGTTCAAGTGATTCTCGTGCCTCAGTCTCCTGAGTAGCTGGGATTACAGGTGTGCGCTATCACGCCCAGCTAATTTTTGTATTTTTAGTAGAGATGGAGTTTTGCCAAATTGGCCAGGTGGTCTCGAACTCCTGACCTCAAGTGATCCACCTGCCTCGGCCTCCCGAATAGCTGGGATTACAGGTGCGTACCACCATGTCCGGCTAATGTTTGTATTTTTAGTAGAGACGGGGTTTCACCATGTTGACCAGACTGGTCTTGAACTCCTGACCTCAAGTGATCCGCCCGCCTCAAGAACTGAATTTTGAAGTCTAATTAGCCACCTGGGGGCGCTAACGTGTTGAAAAGACGGGAGGAGAGACTGAGCGGGTCTTCCGGGGTTTGATCTCAGTGCCAGAGGGGCCTTGGTAGAACATATGTGGGACAACCTCCCCGGCATATGTGGCTGTGGGAAATAATAACAATTTTAAAAAAGGAATAAGCCGGGGGTGCTGGCTCACACCTGTGATCCTAGCACTTTGGGAGGCCGAGGCAGGTGGATCACGAAGTCAGAAGTTCGAGACCAGCCTGGACAACATGGTGAAACCCCGTCTCTACTAAAAATACAAAAATTAGCCGGGCGTGGTGGCGGGCGCCTGTAATCCCAGCTACTCGGGAGGCTGAGGCAGGAGAATTGCTTGAACCCAGGAGGCGGAGGTTGTAGTGAGCCGAGATTGCATCACTGCACACTCCAGCCTGGGTGACAGAGCAAAACTCCGTCTCAAAAAAAAAAAAAAAAAAAAAAAGAATAAAGAAGAGACGCAGGTTATAAGGAAGGCACCAGACCTGGATGAGGCTGTGATGTCATCAAATCCAGTCTTCCCACTTTATAAATGGGAAAATGGTGGAAAGAGAGGTGATATTAAGTTTACCTAAACATGTACAGGAAGTCAGTGGCACATCAGGGAGTCTTTTTTTTTCCTTTTTCCCTCTTTTTTTATTTTATTTTATTTTATTTTATTTTTTTTGAGGTGGACTTTCGCTCTTGTTGCCCAGGCTGGAGTGCAATGGCGCCATCTCGGCTCACCACAACCTCCGCCTCCCAGGTTCAAGTGATTCTCCTGCCTCAGCCTCCCGAGTAGCTGGGATTACAGGTGTGAGCCACCACACCTGGCTAATTTTGTATTTTGAGTAGAAACAGGGTTTCTCTGTGTTGGTCAGGCTGGCCTCGAACTCCCAAACTCAGGTGATCCGCCCGCCTCAGCCTCCCAAAGTGCTGGGATTACAGGCATGAGCCACCGTGCCCGGCCCTCTTTTTTTAAAAATGTATTTCCACCCAAAGCAGAGAAAAAGAAGTCTTGGCCGAGTTTGTACTTCAACTTAACTCCATGTATTCATCCATTCAATCACTCCTTCATTCACCATTCACTCATTCATGTCTAGCATTGATTCTCATCCTTATTCATTTCTATTGAGCATCTCTTTTTCCTTTGCTTTCATTTGTACATTTGTCTATTTCATTTGTCCTTATCCATCATGCATTCATTCATATTTCCATCCATTTACCCATCCATTTCTTCATTAACCAGTTTTTAATCCACTGAACTATTTATTCATTCAATATCCATCTATCTACCTGTGCATTTATCTATCCAATAAGCTTGAGATTTTTTTTCTTTTTGAGATGGAGTCTTGCTCTGTTTCCCAGGTTGGAGTGCAGTGTTGTGATCTCAGCTCACTACAATCTCCACCTCCCGGGTTCAAACGATTCTCCTGCCTCAGCCTCCCAAGTAGCTGGGATTACAGGCACCTGCCACCATGCCCGGCTAATTTTGTGTTTTTAGTAGAGATGGGGTTTCACCATGTTGGCCAGGCTGTTCTCGAACGCTTGACCTAAAGTGATCCATCTGCCCACCTTGGTCTCCCTTTAAAGTGCTGGGATTACAAGCGTGAGCCACCGCACCCAGCTGAGATTTCTTCATAGCAGTTTACCAGTGACCAGTGTTCAATGAATGCTTATTGAGTGAGTTGTAGTCACAATGCTTATTTCATTTTCTACCACTGAACATCTTTTCATACTGGTCATTTTGCTGGGTGATCCACATAGGTTATTTCTGATCAACAGCCCCCAAGACACACAGAAGTGCCTAACTTGGGACTTGTCTGTGTGGTTAGACTGCTGGGTCTTTTCCCCCTGTTCCTGCCTCTTAAAGCAATGACAACACTGCCATCACCACGCCTGGCCAATTTATTATTACTATTATTATTATTTTTTTTTTGAGATGGAGTCTCGCTCTGTTGCCAGGCTGTAGTGCAATGACGCGATCTCGGCTCACTGCAACCTCCGCCTCTTGGGTTCAAGTGATTCTCCTGCCTCGCCCTCCCGAGTCGCTGGGATTACAGGCGTGTGCCACCACCATGCCCAGCTAACTTTTGTATTTTTAGTAGAGATGGGGTTTCACCATGTTGGCCAGGATGGTCTCGATCTATTGACCTCGTGATCCACCCCCCTCGGCCTCCCAAAGTGCTGGAATTACAGGCGTGAGCCACCGCGCCCGGCTAATTGTTTACTTTTTATAGCTATGGGATCTCACCATGTTGTCCAGGCTGGTCTTGAATGCCTGGCCTCAAGCCATCCTCCTTCCTTGGCCTCCCAAAGTGCTGGGATTCCAGGAGTGAGTCACTGTGCCAGGCCTAGGGCTTCCACTGATTTCCCCTAGTCTCATTCATCCTCGTATCACTCATGTATTCAATGTCTACCGTGCATGGCATTGTGCTAGAGTCCGGCGGTCCAGTGGGGAGCAATAGCAGACATAAACCCTGCACTCATGGAACTCACAAAGTATTAACCAAATCACTGCATAGTGTATTGGTTACAGAGCACTTTAAGCTGTTGTAAAAAAGAATCTCCCGGCCAGGTGCAGTGGCGCACACCTGTAATCCTAGCACTTTGGGAGGCCAAGGCAGGTGGATCACCTGAGGTCAGGAGTTCGAGAGCAGCCTGATTAACATGGTGAAACCCTGTCTCTACTAAATACAAAAAATTAGCCTGGTGTGGTGGTGCATGCCTGTAATCCCAGCTACTCGGGAGGCTGAGGCAGGAGAATCACTTGAACCCGGGAGGCGGAGGTTTCACTGAGCCGAGGTCGTGCCATTGCACTCCAGCCTGGGCAACAAGAGCCAAGCTCCATCTCATAAAAAAGAGAGAGAGAGAGAAAAAAAGAATCTCCTTCACCACCGGAAAAAAACTAGATATAAATGTACCTCTCTCTCACTTAACAGTAAATCACTGGGCAATCTCAACGATTTACTTGTTAAGGTGGGATGGTTTTGCTTTTATCAACATGTAGCTTTAATTTCTGGTTCTGAGCCCCAAGAAAGAGGAGAGGACAGAGAGAAAAGGGCTCACACAATTATTATTTTTTTTTTTTTCCGAGTTGGAGTCTTGCTCTGTCGCCCAGGCTGGAGTGCAGTGGCGCGATCTCGGCTCACTGCAAGCTCCGCCTCCCGGGTTCACGCCATTCTCCTGCCTCAGCCTCCCAAGTAGCTGGGACTACAGGCGTCCACCACCACACCCGGCTAAATTTTTTTGTATTTTTAGTAGAGACGGGGTTTCACCGTGTTATCCAGGATGGTCTCGATTTCCTGACCTCGTGATCCGCCTGCCTCAGCCTCCCAAAGTACTGGGATTACAGGCGTGAGCCACTGCGCCCGGCCCACACAATTATTTTTTAAGAGCAGGACCTAGAATTTGAGCATGTATCTTCCTATCGCATCCCATTGGCTAGAACTTAGTCTCATGGACAGGTCTAGCCGCAAAAGTGACTGATGGAAATATGGTCTCTAGCCTGTGCCCTTCTAAAAATGAGGGTGGGAGGGGGTGGGATAGGTGCAGTGGCTCACTCATAATCCCAGCATTTTGGGAAACTGAGGCAGGAGGATGGCTTGAGGCCAAGAGTTTGAGACTCCCTTCTCTATTCAAAAAAAAAAAAAAAAATACAGTAGGCCAGGTGCGGTGGTTCACGCCTGTAATCCCAGCACTTTGGGAGGCCAAGGCAGGCAGATCACCTGAGGTCAGGAGTTGGAGACCACCCTGGCCAATATAGTGAAACCCCGACTCTACTAAAAATACAAAGCTGTAATCCCAGCTACTCGGGAGGCTGAGGCAGGAGAATCACTTGAACCCTGGAGGCAGAGGTTGCAGTGAGCTGATACACGCCATTGCACTCCAGCCTGGGCCACAGAGCGAGACTCCGTCTCAAAAAAAAAAAAAAAAAAAAAAAACAACGAATAAAACAAAAAAACAAAAAACAAACAAAAAAAAGTTTAATGATTTTTCTTCTCTCTAGGAGAAAATATGGAAGTAAAACAGGACCCATCTGAAGATCGTGTGTCCTCTGCTGATTTTAAATAGCCATGGAAAGTTAATGCCACCGCAAGGGGCAGCCCCGCCCTGGCACTCTGGAAACCTGGTACTTATCCACGCAATCAGAGGCTTGAACCACAGCTAAGCTGAGTCTCGGCGGGACCTCTTCTGATCCTCCGGGCACACAAGAGGATTGGGGGCTGGGGAGGAGCTGCTTCAAGGCCACCTCCGTTTTACCTCCCGTGATACCGTGATATAGTAAGAAATATGTACTTGGTCTTCAGCTTTGGTTCCAAAGACACCCTTCTCACCCCATCACTCTGGAATTTCCAAAAACCCTTGGTGAGAAGGGTGTCTTTTGTTATTTATAAGGAGCCTCTTTTCTCTCTTTCTCTCTTTCTTGCTTCCTTCCTTCCTTGCCTCCCTCCCTCCCTCCTTCCTTTTCTCTTTTCTTTTTTCTTCTTTCTTTATTTTTCTTTCTTTCTTTCTTTCTTTCTTTCTCTCTTTTCTTCTTTCTTTCTCTCTTCCCTTTCTCTCCCTTTCCTTTCCTTTCTCTCCCTTCCCCTCCCCTCCCCTCTCCTCTCCTCTCTTTTCCTTTCTTTTCCTTCCTTTCCTTCTTTCCTCTAATCCCAGCACTTTGGGAGGCCAAGGCGGGCGGATCTCTTGAGGTCAGGAGTTTCAGACCAGCCTGGCCAACATGGTGAAACCTCGTCTCTACTAAAAATACAAAAATTAATCGGGCATGGTGGCAGGCACCTGTAATTCCAGCTACTCTGGAGGCTGAGGCAGGAGAATCCCTTGAACTAGGATGCAGAGGTTGCGGTGAACCGAGATCTCACCACTGCACTCCAGCCCGGGCTACAGAGCGAGACTCCGTCTCAAGGAAATATAAAAGAAAATAAAATAAATGTCTCCCAAAGAGACAAGTCAGATTAGCCTAAACCCAGGAATAACTACAAGCAGTTTGAGGGCCAAAGGCAAGGTAGGGGCTGGCCAGATCCGATCTCCTTCACTGCCATCGTTTGCTCACTCTCGTAATTTTTGCAAAGGAGGTTTCAATTGCATGGTTGTCAGCGAACATCCTATTCATCCATTTCTTGCTTTCTACCAGTAAAATTGAACTTTATAGGCCTGCTTTGTGCTTTTAAGGCTAACTAGCAAAATTCCAGAGTTTAGCCTTAAAAAATATTTATAATTGGCCGGGCACAGTGGCTTACACCTGTAATCCCAGCACTTTGGGAGGCTGAGGCGGGTGGATCACAAGGTCCGGAGATCGAGACCATCTTGGCTAACATGGTGAAACTCCGTCTCTACTAAACACACACACACACACACACAAAAGTAGCCGGGTGTAGTGGCACACGCCTGTAGTCCCAGCACTTTGGAAGGCTGAGGTGGGCGGATCATGAGGTCAGGAGATCGAGACCATCCTGGCTAACATGGTGAAACCCCGTCTCTACTAAAAATACAAAAAAAAAAAAAAGTAGCCGGGCGTAGTGGCACATGCCTGTAGTCCCAGCTACTTGGGAGGCTGAGGCAGGAGAATCACTTGAACCCGGGAGGCAGAGGTTGCAGTGAGCTGAGATTGTGCCATTGCACTCCATCCTGGGTGACAGAGTGAGACTCCATCTAAAAAAAAAAATTCTTTATAATTGATCAAAAGAAGTTTAAGAAATGGATTAAGAAGATCTCTTCTTTGCAGCTGTAGGGGAGGAGAGGGAGCTAGAGAGAGAGAGGGCATTGAGAGAGGAGAAAAAGATATTCTGTGCCATAAAACTAATTCAAGAATGTAGTTTAGGCGAGGCATGGTGGTTCACACCTGTAATCCCAGAACTTTGGGAGGTCGAGGCAGGCGGATCACTTGGGCCCAGAAGTTCGAGACCAGCCCTGGCCAACATGGCAAAACACTGTCTCTACTAAAAGTACAAAAATTAGCCCGGCGTGGTGGCACAACCCTGTAATTCCTTGTACTTGGGAGGGCTGGGGCAAGAGAATCACTTGAACCCGAGAGGCAGAGGTTGCAGTGAGTCGAGATCACACCACTGCACTCCAACCTGGGTGACACAGTGAGACCCTGTCTTAAAAAAAAAAAAACAAAAAAAAAAAAAACAGAGTGGGGTGGGGGGCTGGGGGAGGGATAGCATTAGGAGAAATACCTAATGTAAATGATAACTTGATGGGTGGAGCAAACCAACATGGCACATGTATCAAACCTGTACATTATGCACATGTACCCTAGAACTTAAAGTAAAAAAACAAAACAAAACAAACAAACAAAAAAATGGAATGTGGATTGATAAGTTAATAAACTGAGAATATTAAAAAGGCTCTAAATGTGTTTTATAGTCTTATGTAGTATGGAGATCTATGGATATTTATTACAGCAGCCAGTGTTCCATTCTGTGGTTCCATAAATCTGTGCTTTGAAGTGTAATTTGCACAAAATAATCTTGTAGGAGTCCAAAGACATTAGAAATTATTGCCAGTATTGCAATCATTATTTTGAAGGAGAAACCTTGGTGCCATTTGGTGGTCTTACTTAATATTTTGTTGCCCTGGTAACAATCTTATGATTGACATCTGAATTTCCAAGCAGAATAAATGCTTGTAAAAACAATTCTGTTAAATCAGAAGCTATGCATTGGTGTCTGTGTCTTAGTCTGTATTCTGTTGCTTAGAACAGAACACTTGAAGCCAGATAACTTATAAAGAAAAGGAATTTATTTCCTGTAGTTAATGGAGGTTGGAAAGTCCAAGGTGGAGGGGCTGCATCTGGTGAGGACCTTCTTGCTGTTGGGGACTCTCTGGAGGGTTCCGAGGTGGCACAGGGCATCACAGGGCAAAAGAGCTGAGCGTGCTACTTAAGTCTCTCTTCCTCTTCTGATAAAGCCACCAGTCTCACTCCCAGGGTAACCCATTAATCCATTAACTCACTAATCCATTAATCCATGAATGGATTAGTTCATTCATGAGAAAAGAGTCCTCATGACCCAATCACCTCTTAAATGCCCGACCTATCAATACGGCCACATTAGGGATTCAGTTTCACCATAAGTTTATTTATTTATTATTTATTTATGTATTTTTTGAGACAATGTCTTGCTATGTCACCCAGGCTGGACAGCAGTGGCATGATCTCAGCTCATTATAACCTCCACCTCCCAGGTTCAAGTGATTCTCCTGCCTCAGCCTCCTGAGTAGCTGGTATTACAGGCACGTGCCACCATGCCCGGGTAATTTTTGTATTTTTAGTAGAGACAGGGTTTCATCATGTTGGCCAGCTAGTCTCAAACTCCTGACCTCATGTGATCTGCCCACCTTGGCTTCCTAAAGTGCTGAGATTACAGGTGTGAGCCACCACACTCAGCTTATTTACCTATTTATTTTTTGAGACAGGGTCTCACTGTGTTGCACAGGCTGGAGTGCAGTGGTGCAATCACGGTTCACTGCATCCTCAGCTTTCTGGGCTCAGGTGATCCTCCCACTTCAGCCTCCTGAGTAGCTGGGATCACAGGCATGTGCCACCTCACCTGGCTAATTTTTAAATTATTTGTAGAGACAGGGTCTCCCTATGTTGCCCAGGCTGGTTCAACATGAGTTTTCAAGGGAACAAATATTCAAACCTTAGCAGCAGGTTAAATGATCTTTCTCCCACATTTATGATCGGAAAAAAAAAATTAAAGCCTGAGACTCTGCTAGACTTCTTACTTTAACAAGAGTCTGAGAGTCTTGTTTCATTTCCATTACAGCATCTATTAATAGTTCTGACTGAGAGAAGAGCTATCCTTTACTTTGACGATTATGAAGAATAGGGGAAAAGACATTAAAAAGACACAATTACACCATTGATGATTTTGTCACAGCTGAGATAAGTGCTGTTAAAGAACTTGCAGGGAAGTCTTTGCTAAAGAAAAGATTCTGAAGCTGGTTTCTGAGGGAAGAGTCAAAGTTAGCCAAGCAAAAATGGGGGAAAAACTCCAGATACAGGAGTTTTCAGGATGTTTCAGGGTCTGAGATGGGAAGGAGGTTATGTGTTCCAACCCAGTGGTTCTCAAACTTGACTGCACATTAGAATTTCCCAGGAACATTTAAAACACAGAATGAGACACCCAGGCCTCATCCTATACCCATTATAAAAATTAAAATCTCGACTGGGCACGGTGGCTCACACCTGTAATCCCAGCACTTTGGGAGGCCAAGGTGGGCAGATCACCTGAGGTCAAGAGTTCAAGACCAGCCTGACCAACATGGAGAAATCCCATCTCTACTAAAAAATACAAAATTAACTGGGTGTGGTGGCACTTGCCTGTAATCCGAGCTACTTGGGAGGCTGAGGCAGGAGAATCGCTTGAACCCGGGAGGCAGAGGTTGCAGTGAGCTGAGATCATGCCATTGCACTTCAGCCTGGGCAACAAGAGCAAAATTCCATCTTAAAAAAACAAAAATAAAAAAATAATTAAAATCTCTCGGTGGGACTCAGGCACTCAGTAAATATATATATATCTATTTCCATTGACCATAACACATGACAGACTAAAGATGGCCTCCAATTCTTTGTCACTGTCCCTATAGAGAGGTAGAGTTTATTTTCCCTCCCCTTGAATCTGGCCTTTCCTTAAGACTGTAGAAGAAGAGAAACTGTGTCAGTTCCAGGCTTAGTCTTTAAAGGGACAAACAACTTTTGCCTTCTTTATTTTATTTATTTATTTATTTATTTGAGACAGAGTCTCATTCTGTTGCCCAGGCTGGAGTGCAGTGGTGTGATCTCGGCTCACTGCAACTTCCGCCTCCCAGGTTCAAGCAATTCTCCTGCCTCGGCCTCCTGAGTAGCTGGGATTACAGGTGTGCACAAACACACCCGGCTAATTTTTTTTAATTTTGTTTTTAGTAGAGACGGGGTTTTACCATGTTGGCCAGGCTGATGTTGAACTCCTGACCTCAGGTGATCCACCCACCTCGGCCTCCCAAAGTGCTGGGATTACAGACGTGAGCCACCATGCCCAGCCGCCTTCTCTATTTTAGAAAGCTCTCTTGTGACATCCCCTCTTGAAACCCAGATGCTATCCTCCAAGAAGTCTGAATCAAATGGAGAGGCCATGTGCAGGTACATCATTCAACAGTCCTAGCCGAGCTTTCAACCAACATCCAGCATCAACAGCCAGCCATTTGCAAGTGCCATCTTGGAGATTCCAGCTCAGTTGAGCCACCCTGATGACTGAAGCCCAGGAAGACATCACATTGAACCGAAGAACCGCTCAACTGAGCCCAGTCATCTCACCAGATCAGGAATGATTAAAAAAAAAAAAAAACAAGATTGTTACTCTAAGTTACTCAGTTTTGGGGTGGTTTGTTAACACAGTAATTGATAACCTAAACCCAAAAGAGAACTAAATAATGATGACTTAAAACTAATACCAATTGATTTCTCCCTTATGTAGAATAAATCTGAAGGGAGCAGTCCAAGGCTGGCACAGTGACTCCAAAAAGCATTATGGACCTAAGTTACTTCTGGCTCACCCTCCACCATCTTGAACCTCATCTCATCTTCATGGTTCAAGATGACGCTAGAATACCAGTCATCACATCCACATTTTAGGCAGTTAAGTGAAGGAAGGAAAGTGTACTTCATTAAAGAACCTTTTGGAAGCTGTCTACAATATTTATGCTTATTTATCATTGTCCTAGATGAAGACTTACGGCTACATCTACCTGTAAGTGACACTGAAGAATGTAGTTTTTTACCTGGGTGCCAATGGGCCCAGCTAAAAATCAGAATTCTCAACAGCAAAAGGATGGCTTTGAGATAATCATGTAGATTATGTGCAGATAACTACAGATAAGTCCCCTCCCCCAAGTCTATTTTAAATTTTCTCCTGGAGTATTTTAAAGTAAACCTCAGATATAATATGATTTCATCTATAAGACTTTTTATTTTGGTAACATATTCTTAAGGTTAGGTGTGATAAACACCTAACAAAGTGAATGATTATTTATTTATTTATTTTATTATTATTTTTTGAGATGGAGTTTCACTCTTGTTGCCCAGGCTGGGGTACAATGGTGCGATCTCAGCTCACTGCCACCTCCCCCTCCCAGGTTCAAGTGATTCTCCCACCTCAGCCTCCTGAGAAGCTGGGATTACAGGTATATACCACCAAGCCTGGCTAATTTTTGTATTTTTTGTAGAGATGGGATTAGGCCATGTTGCCCAGGCTGGTGTTGAACTCCTGGGATCAAGCCTTCCACCTACCTCACCTCCCAAAATCTTAGGATTACAGGTGTGATCCACCTTGCCTGGCCCTAAGCTATTCTTTATTCTTTCTTTTTTCGTTTTTTGAATCAGGGTCTCCTTTCTTCATTTCCAAGTGGAATGGAACTTTACCAGGCCTTTCCTGTTGACTGATAAAATTCCAGAGCCTAGTTTTAAAATATGCATATTCCTTGTTAGCAACAGAGATGTTAAGAAGAAATATAGGAGATGTCCTCTTTTCCCTGATACTGCATAAGGAGAAAGATTTTTTCTGAGTCACAACACTAATTTAAGGAATCTGATTTGATAAAGAGTTGAATTGAGAAGATTCACAAGAATATCAGTCTTGTTTTCTGGTACAATATGGAGAACTAAATGAATATTCACAAACATTACTAAATTGTTCTCTGTTGAAATAAATTCATACACAAAACTGTTATTTGAACAAAAGGGTCTTGTAAGAGTCCCAAGCCTTTAAAAATCATTGCCACATCTTGTGAAAATAACTTTCAAAGAAACACCTGTAATTATAGTTGGTTTTACTCCTTATAATTTGTTGCCTTGTTGACTTTTCTATGTTCCAAAACAGTAAGAAGAGTAGGTGCTATCAAGACAAAAAATCCGAAAACAAAAACGAGACTTCGGGGCATTTTGCTCTTCTTCCAAATGCAAGATGAAAAAAAACATGGTTAAAAACTAACTTGCTTGATTTCTTATTTTAACAAAAAAATAAAAAATTTTGTCTGATTCAAATTAACATTTTTTTTTTTTTTTTTGAGACTGAGTCTCACTCTGTTGCCCAGGCTGGAGTGCAATGGTGCGATCTCAGCTCACTGCAACCTTTGCCTCCCAGGTTCAAGCAGTTCTCCTGCCTCAGCCTCCTGAGTAGCTGGGATTACAGGCGTGCACCACCACGCCCAGCTAATTTTTGTATTTTTAGTAGAGATGAGGTTTCACCATGGTTGGCCAGGCTGGTCTCGAACTCCTGACCTCAGGTTATCTACCTGCCCCGGTCTCCCAAAGTGTTGGGATTACAGGCATGAGCCACTGCGCCAGGCTAAATTAACATAATTATCAAATGCAATCTGTAGACTTTTATTGGATCCTGATTTATTCTTTAAAAACCTGATAGAAATGACATTTTTGAGACAATCAGGGAAATTTGAGTACTGAATGGGTATTAGCTGGTATCAAGGAGGTACTCTTAACTTTCTTGATGTGACAGTGCTGTGGTGCTTATATTATTTTTAAAATGGTTCTTATTTGATAAAGATAGATATGTACTGAAATATTCTGAACTTAAAAAATGAGCTCATGACTGGCTGGGCACAGTGGCTCATGCCTGTAATCCCAGCACTTTGGGAGGCTGAGGTGGGTGGATCACTTGAGATCAGGAGTTTGAGACCAGCCTGGCCAACATGGTGAAACCTCATCTCTACTAAAAAATACAAAAATTAACTGGGCATGTTGAAGGGCTCCTGTAATCCCAGCTACTTGGGAGGCTGAGGCAGGAGAACCGCTTGAACCTGGGGGGTGGAGGTTGCAATGAGATGAGATTTTGCCACTTCACTCCAGCCTGGGCGAAAGAGTGGAACTCTGTCTCAAAAGAAAAAAAAAAAATGGTGATGAAGGCCTGGCACAGTGGCTCATGCCTGTAATCCCAGCAGTTTGGGAGGCCGAGGCAGGTGGATCACTTGAGGCGAGGAGTTCAAGACTAGCCCAGCTAACTTGTGAAACCTCATCTTAACTAAAAATACAAACATTAGCCGGGCATGGTGGCATGCGCCTATAATCCCAGCTACTTGGGAGGCTGAGGCCGGAGAATTGCTTGAACCCAGGAGGCTGAAGTTGCAATGACCTGAGATCGTGCCACTGGACTCCAGCCCAGGTAACAGAACCAGACACCATCTCAAAAAAAAAAAAAAGAGTGAAGTGCTTTCATCTCTTCAATACGAACCCTTCAGGGCCAAGTCTGAAGCATTTTCGGGGTTACCTGTTTGATGCCTGAAATCTGCCTGAGACAGAGGAGCATTTCCTGTGAGTCAAGTGCTCGAACACTGGTGTGTGTAAGGAGCATGTTGCAATCAGCAACATCAACATGTTTCCTGAATGTGGATATGGGAGGGGAAACTGAAAGGCTAGGAAAGGCTGTTACTGCCCACACTCTGGGGTGGGAGAGAGGCAGCGACGACTCCAGCTCTTCTCCCATCTGTGGACTGCAGAACCCAAGACGGACTCTGGGAGGGCTAAGGAGCCATCATGATCCCTAAGCTGCTTTCCCTCCTCTGTTTCAGTAAGTCTCACAGGGCTATCCACTGGGACTGCAGAAAATCATGGAACTGGTGGGATAGTTGGGCTGGGGATGGAAATAATAACATCAACTTTGGCTTACTGAGCACACGGGAGGAGTGAGACGTCCTGCTGAGTGCAGTGCAGACATTCCCTGGAAACGAGTGCTCTGCAAACTTCAACTCCTGTAGTTTCAACTTCGTGAGTTTTGCTGAATGCCTCCACCACCTGGCTTCATTGGCTTACCCCTTTTCTCAGGATCAACTCTGACTTTTTGTGTGTAAGTAAAAGTATTCAGAATAGAAACCTTATTTTATTTTATTTTATTTTATTTTTTTGAGACAGAGTTTTGCTCTTGTTGCCCAGGCTGTAGTGCAATGGCATGATCTCGGCTCACCACAACCTCTGCCTCCCGGGTTCAAGCGATTCTCCTGCTTCAGCCTCCTGAGTAACTGGATTACAGGGGTGCGCCACCATGCCTGGTTAATTTTTGTATTTTTAGTAGAGACAGTGTTTCACCATGTTGGCCAGGCTGGTCTCGAACTCCCGACCTCAGGTGATCTGCCCACCTCAGTCTCTCAAAGTGCTGGGATTACAGATGTGAGCCACTGTGCCTGGCCCAGAAACCTTAATACCATAAATAAAAATTTAGTGTCAAATAGATAACTATAAAGTAAATTGAGGCCGCTGTGTAACCATCACCACTATCTACACTAAAACCTCTTTCTTTCTTCCTTCCTTCCTTCCTTTCTTTCTTTTTCTCCTTCCCTTCCTTCCTTCCTTCCTTCCTTCCTTCCTTCCTCCCTTCCTTCCTCTCTCTCTCTTTCTTTCTTTTTTTTTTTTTTGAGATGGAGTCTCGCTCTGTCGCCCAGGCTGGAGTGCAGTGGTGCGATCTCTGCTCACTGCAAGCTCCGCCTCCCGGGTTCACGCCATTCTCCTGCCTCAGCCTCCCGAGTAGCTGGGACTACAGGCGCCCGCCACCATGCCCGGCTTTTTTCGTAGGTTTCACTGTGTTAGCCAGGATGGTCTCCATCTCCTGACTTCTTGATCTGCCCGCCTCGGCCTCCCAAAGTGCTGGGATTACAGGCGTGAGCCCCCGCTTGCTTGCCTGCTTGCTTGCTTGCTTGCTTTCTTTCTTTCTTTCTTTCTTTCTTTCTTTCTTTCTTTCTTTCTTTCTTTCTTTCTTTCTTTCTTTCTTCCTTCCTTCCTTTCTTTCTTTCTCTTTCTCCTTCATTCCTTCCTTCCTCTCTCTCTTTCCCTTCCTTCCTTCCTTCCTTACTTCCTTCCTTCCTTCCCTCCTTTTCCTTTTTTTGAGACAAAGTCTCACTCTGTACCCAGGCTGGAGTGCAGTGGTATGACCACAGCTCACTGCAGCCTCCACCTCCTGGGCTCAAGCAATTCTCCTGCCTCAGCCTCCTGGGTAGCTGAGATTACAGGTGCCCACCACACACCCGGCTGATTTTTTGTACTTTTTAGTAGAGACGGGGTTTCATCATGTTGGCCAGGCTGGTCTTGAGCTCCCTCAGGTGATCACCTCAGGTGATCTGCCCGCCTCAGCCTCAGCCTCCCAAAGTGCTGGGATTACAGGCGTGAGCCACAGTGCCCCGTGTAATTTTTAAATTTTTTGTAGAGACGGGATCTCACTATGTTACTCAGGCTGGTCTCAAACTCCTGGCCTCAAGCAGCCCTTCTGCCTTGGCCTCCCAAAGTGCTGGGATTACAGGCGTGAGCCACTGTGGTGGCTCTGCCACCTTTTTCTCCCATCCTGGCCCTCAGCAGAATACCCACCTCCATTAGGAAGGCCAACCTGCCCGACTCAGCATTAGATTCAAATGCTGATCTTTCTAAAAACACCCTCACAGACACGCCCAGAAATAATGTTTAACCAGATATCCCAGCATCCTGTGGCCTGGTCTAGCTGATAAATCAAATTAACAATCACAATTCCCAATATGAACGCTACACCCTCTAACCAATAACTCTGTATTTGCCGCGGTCCTCCCAGCCCCTGGTAACCTCCATTCTAATTTCTTTTTTTTTTTTTTTTTTTCGGAGATGGAGTCTTGCTTCGTCACCCAGGCTGGAGTACAGTGGCCTAATCTCAGCTCACTGCAACCTCCGCCTCCTGGGTTCAAGCGATTCTCCTGCCTCTCCCTCCCGAGTAGCTGGGATCACTGGCGCTCACCACCATGCCTGGCTAAGTTTTTTTTTTTTTTTTTTTTAGTAGAGACAAGGTTTCACCATGTTGACCAGGCTGGTCTCGATCTCCTGACTTTGTGATCTGCCTGTCTCGGCCTCCCAAAGTGCTGGGATTACAGGCGTGAGCCACCGTGTCCAGCCCATTCTAATTTTTATCTCTATGAATTTGCTTATTCTAGGATGTATGAGTGGAATCATAACACTTGTTCTTTTTTGCCTGACTTAGTTTACTCAGCATAATATCCTCGAGCTACATCTATATTGTAGGATATGTCAGATTTCCTTTCCTTTTTATGGCTAAAATCCCACTGTAGGCCGAGCACAGTGTCTCACACCTGTAATCCCAGCACTTTGAGAGTCTGAGGCAGGCAGATCGCTTGAGCCCAGGAGTTCGAGACTAGCCTGGGCAACATGGTGAAACCCTGTCTCTACAAAAAATACAAAAATGAGGCTGGGCATGGTGGCTCACGCCTGTAATCCCAGCACTTTTTTTGCAATGACCTGACGTAAGGAGTTCGAGAACAGCCTGGCCAATAGGGTGAAACCCCATTTCTACTAAAAATATAAAAATTAGCCATGCGTGGTGGCGGGCGCCTGTAATCCCAGCTACTTGGGAGGCTGAGGCAAGAGAATCGCTTGAACCCAGGAGTCAGAGGTTGCAGTGAGCCGAGATCATGCCATTGCACTCCAGTCTGGGCAACAAGAGCGAAACTCCATCTCAAAATAAATAAATAAATATTAAAAACAACAACAACAACAAAAATGAGCTGGGCATGGTGGTGTGCAGCTGTAGTCCCAGCTACTCGGGAGGCAGAGGTGGGAGGATCACCTGAGCCCAGGGAGTTGATGCTGGAATGAACTAGGATCACATCATTGCACTCCAGCCTGGGCAGCAGAGCGAGACCCTGCCTCAAAAAAAAAAAAAAAAAAAAAAGAAAGAAAGAAAAGAAAAAGAAAAAAGCATTTTGGAGGCTAAGATGGGCGGATCACCTGAGGTGGGGAGTTCAAGACCAGCCTGACCAACATGGTGAAACCCTGTCTCTACTAAAAAATACAAAATTAGCTGGGCATGGTGGTGCATGCCTGTAATCCCAGCTACTTGGGAGGCTGAGGCAGGAGAATCACTTGAACCCACAAGGCGGAGGTTGCAGTGAGCTGTAATCCCAGCTACTTGGGAGGCTGAGGCAGGAGAATCACTTGAACCTGCAAGGCGGAGGTTGCAGTGAGCTGTAATCCCAGCTACTTGGGAGGCTGAGGCAGGAGAATCACTTGAACCCGCGAGGCGGAGGTTGCAGTGAGCCGAGATCGCGCCATTGCACTCCAGCCTGGGCAACAAGAATGAAACTATGTCTCAAAAAAAAAAAAAAAAAAAACGAAGAAAAAGAAGAAAAATCCCATTGAATATATAGAGCACACTGTGTTTATCCATTCTTCCATGGATGGACACTTACGTTGTTTGAACATTTTGGGTGTTCACAATTTCCTTTTGCAAAACTTGAAGTGTCAGTTTATGGATTGGCTCATGGATGTAATAGTAGCACAAACGCCTGGTAACTTCTCCTTTTTCCTGCTGAGACCTAAAACTGTTCACACAGGGGAAAAAGAGGAAATCTCTCAGAGACACAGGCCTAACTAACTTTCTTTGAGTTAGATCAATCTCATTATTATGATAATGTTCATAAACAGGCTTGATATTATGTTTTTTCTTTTCTTTCTCTTTTTTTTTTCTTTCCTGAAACTGAGTCTCGCGCTGTGGCCAGGCTGGAGTGCAGTGGTGCGATCTCAGCTCATTGCAAACTCTGCCTCCTGGGTTCAAGCGATTCTCTGCCTCAGCCTCCTGAGTAGCTGGGATCACAGGCGCCCATCACCACACCTGGCTAATTTTTGTATTTTTAGTATAGACGGGGTTTCACCATGTTGGCCAGGCTGGTCTTCAACTCCTGACCTCGTGATCCACCTGCCTCGGCCTCCCAAAGTGCTGGGATTACAGGCGGGAGCCACCGCGCCCGGCATGGTCAAGAGTTCTTAACCAGCCCAGCCCTGTCTCTATCAAAAAAAATTAAAAAGGAGGAAGAGCAAATGCAGCCATGTGTGAAACAGGGAGGAACGTATGCTTTCCCCTTTCTGGAATGACCATTTGGATGTTTTGAGGCTTGTTACAGGACACCAAACAATAAATTTTGTCCTGTTTGGAGTCATGAAGGGATTAAAAGAGATCATGAGCCTGGGCAACATAGGGAGACTCTGTCTCTGGGAAAGACTAAAAAATTAGCCGGGTGTGGTGGTGCACACCTGTGATCCCAGCTACTCGGGAGGCTGAGGTGGGAGGATCACTTGAGCCTGGGAGGCTACAGTGAGCCATGATGGAGCCACTGCACTCCAACCTGGGCAACAGAGAGAGACCCTGTCTCAAAACACAATAATAAAATGAAAAATTAAAAAATAAAAAGAAGCTGGGCACAAAGCTCATGCCTGTAATCCCGGCACTTTGGGAGGCCGAGGTGGGTGGATCACCTGAGGTCAGGAGTTCGAGACCAGCCTGGCCAATATGGTGAAACCCTGTCTCTACTAATAATACAAAACTCAGCCGGGCGTCCTGGCGCATGCCTGTGATCCCAGCTATTTGGGAGGCTGAGGCAGGAGAATCACTTGAACCCGGGAGGCGGAGGTTGCAGTGAGCCGAGATTGCGTCACTCTACTCCAGCCTGGGCGACAGAGCGCAACTCTGTCTCTGGAATGAATGAAAGAAAGAAAGAATGAATGAAAGAAAGAAAGAATGAATGAAAGAAAGAAAGAAAGAAAAAGAAAGAAAGAGCGAGACTCTGTCTCTGGAATGAATGAAAGAAAGAATGAATGAAAGAAAGAAAAAAGAAAGAAAGAAAGGAAAGAAAAAGAAAGAAAGAAAGAAATGGTAAGAATGAGTGCTGTTTTCAAACAGAAGATGAGAATGGAAGGATTTGTGGGAAAGGCCTGGAGCAGGGGGAGGTGACAGCCACACAGGATGGTCAAGGAGAATCGCTGGGAAAGGATGGAGGAGCTGGAAGTCGAGCAGAAGCCACAGTCCAGTGTGGGGAGAATGAGAACTCCTGAGCGTATGACCTCTAAGGGTCTGTTCTCAGCAGGAGACTCTGGGACGATCTCCAGGGGTCAGGGCAGGGGGTGACGTGGCTCCAGGTAGGGGCTTCTGGCTCACGGAGGATTGTCTTGCAGGACTGTGCGTGGGCCAAGGAGACACAAGGGGAGATGGTGAGTGTTTCTTCAACTACACCCTCCTTGGCCTGTCATCCCAAATCCCCTGCTGTTCTCTTCCCCTTCCCCCTCTTTTTCTCTTTTTTTTTTGACGGAGTCTCACTCTTTCGCCAGGCTGGAGTGCGGTGGTGCAATCTCGGCTTACAGCAACCTCCGCCTCCTGGGCTCAAGTGATTCTCCTGTCTCAGCCTCCCAAGTAGCTGGGACTACGGGTGCTTGCCACCACGCCCAGCTAATTTTTGTATTTTTAGTAGAGACGGAGTTTCACCATGTTGGCCAGGATGGTCTCGATCTCATGACCTCGTGATCTGCCTGCCTTGGCCTCCCAAGGTGCTGGGATTACAGGCGTGAGCCACCGCACCCAGCCCGCTTCCCTTCTTAAAATGGGATTCCTGATTGGGCTCAGGGGTTCACGCCTGTAATCCCAGCACTTTGGGAGGCCAAGGTGGGTGGATCACCTGAGGTCAGGAGTTCGAGACCAGCCTGGCCAACATGGTGAAACCTTGTCTCTACTAAAATACAAAATTAGCTGGGTGTGGTGGTGCGTGCCTGTAATCCCACCTACTTGGGAGGCTGAGGCAGGAGAATTGCTTTAACCCAGGAGACGGAGGTTGCAGTGAACTGAGATTGCACCACTGCACTCTAGCCTGGGCAACAGAGGGAGACTCCATCTCAAAATAATAATAATAATAATAAATTTTAAAAAGGGCTTCCTGAGAGCAGGGGAGGGCATCGGGTCCAGCATCAGGCTCTGCTTCCTTCCAGGGTCACTGCCCAAGCCGTCCCTCAGTGCCTGGCCCAGCTCGGTGGTCCCTGCCAACAGCAATGTGACGCTGCGATGTTGGACTCCTGCCAGAGGTGTGAGCTTTGTTCTCAGGAAGGGAGGAATTATTCTGGAGTCCCCGAAGCCCCTTGATTCTACAGAGGGCGCGGCCGAATTTCACCTCAATAATCTAAAAGTCAGAAATGCTGGAGAGTACACCTGTGAATACTACAGAAAAGCATCCCCCCACATCCTTTCACAGCGCAGTGACGTCCTTCTACTGTTGGTGACAGGTACAGACAGGGTGCCTGCCAATGACATACGGGGGACAGGGGATGAGGGAGGAAGTGGAGGAACAGAGGGAGAAAAGGGGTCCCACCTTCAGAGTAGTTGGGGGTGATGGGAGAGGGAGAGAGACAGGAACGAAATTGCATATGTTGGTTTTATACTTTGTCGCCCAGGCCAGAGTGCAGTGGTGCCATCTCGGCTCACTGCAACTTCCGCCTCCTGGGCTCAAGTGATTCTCCTGCTCCAGCCTCCTGAGCAGCTGGGATTACAGGTGCCTGCCACCATGCCCGGCTAATTTTTGTATTTTTAGTAGAGACAGGGTTTCGCCATGTTGGGCAGGCTGGTCTCGAACTCCTGACCTCAGGTGATCCACCCGCCTTGGCCTCCCAAAGTGCTGGGATTACAGGTGTGAGCCACCATGCCAGGCCTTACACAGGTCTTGTAGGAGGGAGAATCTCTGTCCTGGGGTCGGAGTAGGAAGTGGAGGAAGGTAGAAGAGATCAGGAATCTCTCATTTCCCACACTCCACGAGAGCCTCCGGCCAGGAGAACAGGGGTGAGTGGGGGATTCCAGACTTCTCCCCAGGACCTCAGAACCTGACTTCTCTTACAGGACATTTATCTAAACCTTTCCTCCGAACCTACCAAAGGGGTACAGTGACCGCAGGTGGAAGGGTGACTCTGCAGTGCCAGAAGCGAGACCAATTGTTTGTGCCTATCATGTTCGCTCTACTGAAGGCAGGGACGCCATCACCCATCCAGCTGCAGAGTCCAGCGGGGAAGGAGATAGACTTCTCTCTGGTGGACGTGACAGCCGGCGATGCTGGGAACTACAGCTGCATGTACTACCAGACAAAGTCTCCCTTCTGGGCCTCAGAACCCAGTGATCAGCTTGAGATATTGGTGACAGGTAAGGGCGTGTATGGTTTTGAGGAACTGTGTGTGTTGTTTTTAATCAGAGATTGTTTTGTTCTTCTGTGAATCTCATTTCTTCATTACTTACAATATCATCGCTCTTAACAAAATCTTCCCTTTCTGGCCTGGCGTGGTGGCTCATGCCTGTCATCCCAGCACTTTGGGAGGCCGAGGTGGATGGATCATCTGAGGTCAAGGATTTGAGACCAGCCTGGCCAACATAGTGAAACCCCGTCTCTACTAAAAATAAAAAATTAGCCAGGTATGATGGCATGCACCTGTAGACCCAGCTACTTGGGAGGCTGAGGCAGGAGAATTGCTTGAACATGGGAGGCGGAGGTTGCAGTGAGCCAAGATCTTGCCACTGCACTCCAGCCTGGGCAATAGAGTGAGACTCTGTCTCAAAAACAAAAAACAAAAAACAAAAACAAAAACAACAAAACAACAAAAAAACCTCCCTTTCACAATTTCCACTCCTTTGCCTTTTTTTTTTTTTTTTTTTTTTGAAATGGAGTCTCACTCTGTTGCCAGGATGGAGTGCAATGGCGCGATCTTCGCTCACTGCAACCTCCACCTTCCAGGTTCAAGTGATTCTCCTGCCTCAGCCTCCCAAGTAGCTAGGATTACAGGCCTGCACCACCCATCCGGCTAATTTTTCTATTTTTAGTAGCGATGAAGGTTTCACCGTGTTGACCAGGCTGGTCTTGAACTCCTGACCTCAGGTGATCTGCCTGCCTCGGCCTCCCAAAGTGCTGGGATTACAGGTGTGAGCCACCGTGCCCGGCCCTCCTTTGCCTTTTTGTTATACTACATCCTTGGAAAATTTCTAGGCTGTTTTTGAAAATTATGAATCTACCAGCACCAGATTCCTTCTACCAGTCTTTGCATCTCTTAGCGTTTTGGTTTTTTGTTTTGTTTTGTTTCATTTTGTTTTTGAGACAGAGTCTCGCTCTGTTGCCCAGGGTGGAGTGCAGTGGTGCGATCTCAGCTCACTGCAACCTCTGCCTCCCGAGTTTAAGCAATTCTCCTGCCTCAGCCACTTGAGTAGCTGGGATTACATGTGCCCACCACCACGCCTGGCTAATTTTTGTATTTTTAGTAGAGATGGGGTTCTGACCATGTTGACCAGGCTGGTCTTGAACCCCTGGCCTCAGGTGATCCACTCACCTCGGCCTCCCAAAGGGCTGGGATTGCAGGTGTGAACCACTGTGCATGGCGTGTTTTGGTTTTTCTTGGTGTTAGTGATTTCACTCTCAATAATTCTTTCTCAGTCATGTGCGGTGGCTCAGGCCTGTAATCCCAGCACTTTGGGAGGCTGAGGCTGGAGAATTGCTTGAGCCCAGGAGTTTGAGACCAGCCTGGGCAACATAGTGAGACCCAGTTTCAAATTAAAAAAAAAAATTATCTCATCCTCAGAACATGGTGTTTGCACAGCCTCCTGCTTCTATGCCGTGGATGCGAAGTCTACCCATGTCTTTTATTGACTGCTAGAATTCTTCTGAAAGTATCTTGTTTCCTGCCTTACTGGGTGCTAGCACTCTGCTTCCTCAGCTCTGTAAATTATTTTTCATCTATTGTAACTGCTGTAATGAGTTACATTACAGCTCTTGCCGGGTGCCTGGATGAAGCCCATTCATCAAGACAGAGGAATTGCAAAAAAGAGTTTAATACACATTGAGCCAGGTAAGTGGGAGACCAGAGTTTTTTTGTTTGTTTGTTTGTTTGAGACGGAGTCTTGCTCTGTCGCCCAGGCTGGAGTGCAGTGGCGCGATCTCGGCTCAATGAAACCTCTGCCTCCCAGGTTCAAACGATTCTTCTGCCTCAGCCTCCCGAGTAGCTGGGACTATATGTGTGCCACCCTGCCTGGCTAATTTTTGTATTTTTAGTAGAGATGGGGTTTTACCATATTGGCCAGGCTGGTCTCGAACTCCTGACCTCGTGATCTGCCCGCTTGGGCCTCCCAAAGTGCTGGGATTACAGGCATGAGCCACTGCACCTGGCCAATCAGAGTTTTATTATTACTCAAATCAGCCTCCCTGAAAATCTGGAGGCTAGGGTTTTGTTTGTTTGTTTGTTTTCTTTGAGATGGAGTCTCACTCTGTCGCCCAAGCTGGAGTGTAGTGGCACAATCTGAGCTCACTGCAGCCTCCACCCCCCAACCCCAGGCCCAGGTCAAGTAATTCTCCTGCCTCAGCCTCCTGAGTAGCTGGGATTACAGGCACCCGCCACCACACCCGGCTAATTTTTTTGTATTTTTAGTAGACATGGGGTTTCGCCATGTTGCCCAGGCTGCTCTCAAACTCCTGGCCTCAAGCAATCCTCCTACCTTAGCCTCCCACAGTGCTGGGATTACAGGCGTGAGCTACTGTGCCCGGCCTCAACTCAAACTTTCTCAGGTGCACTGCTGCACAGCAGTGTGGGCTGCGAGGATGCTGATCCAGCCACGGAATTCGGGGCTCTGTAGAGCTCCTTCCGTCTCATGTGCTGCCCCAAGACTATTCCTTAACATAAGGATGCGGGAGGAGAAAAGGCAATGTGGGAAGGTGGAAATGGGATAAAGAGCAAATAAACGAAGGAAGAGAGCTAAGGTGGAGTGAATATCAAGGAAGGAAGATAAAGGAACTCCCATTACAACTCATTAGGATTGCATATCTTGGCCGGGCGCGGTGGCTCAGGCCTGTAATCCCAGCACCTTGGGAGGCCGAGGCAGGCGAATCACTTGAGGCCAGGAGTTCGAAACCAGTTTGGCCAACATGGCGAAAACCCATCTCTATTAAAAATACAAAAATTAGCCGGGTGTGGTGGTAGGTGCCTGTAATCCTAGCTATTCGGGAGGCTGAGGCAGGAGAATCGCTTGAACCCAGGAGGTGGAGGTTGCAGTGAACCGAGACTGCGTCGCTGCACTCCAGCCTGAGCAACAGAGTGAGACGTCGTCTCAAAAACAACAACAAAGATTCCATCTTTTGTTTTCAGGGATTAAAACTTTAAAGAGCTCAATTATGGCCAGGCATGGTGGTTTATGCCTATAATCCCAACACTTTGGGAGGCCAAGGCGGGTGGATCACCTGAGGTCAGGAGTTCGAGACCAGCCTGACCAACATGGAGAAACCCCGTCTCTACTAAAAATACAAAATTAGCCGGGTGTGGTGGCACATGCTCATAATCTCAGCTGCTTGGGAGGCTGAGACAGGAGAATCACTTGAACCCGGGAGGCAGAGGTTGTAGTGAGCTGAGATTGTGCCATTACACTCCAGTCTGGGCAACAAGAGCAAAACTTGATCTCAAGAAAAAAAAAAAGTTCAATTAAAACTTTAAAGTACAGTGGACTACTGGCTAGAAAACATTAAGTGGGTGGCCGGGCGCGGTGGCTCACACCTGTAATCCCAGCACTTTGGGAGGCTGAGGTGGGCGGGTCACCTGAGGTCGGGAGTTCAAGACCAGCCTGGCCAACATGGCGAAACCCCGTCTCTACTAAAAATATAAAATTAGCCGGGCATGGTGGCACATGCCTGTAATCCCAGCTACTTGGGAGGCTGAGGCAGGGAGGCTTGAACCTGGGAGGCAGAGGTTGTGGTGAGCTGAGATTACACCACTGCACTCCAGCCTGGTCAACAAGAGTAAAACTCCGTCTCAAAAAAAAAAACCAAAAAACCGAAAACATTAAGTGGGTGATGATAGTCAGATTTGGTGGGGCCATTTGAGAAGGAGGGATACCCTCTGAGGGTCAGTGCTGAGCCCCTTCTCTCTTTCAGTTCCCCCAGGTACCACATCGAGCAACTACTCCCTGGGTAACTTCGTACGACTGGGTCTGGCTGCCGTAATTGTGGTTATCATGGGAGCTTTCCTGGTGGAGGCCTGGTACAGCCGGAATGTGTCTCCAGGTGAATCAGAGGCCTTCAAACCAGAGTGACTCCATCTTGAACCGGGGCTGGGTAAACTGAGGCTGCAACCTGCTGGACTGCATTCCCAGGGGGTTGAGGCTTTCTAAGTCACAGGATGAGACAGGTCACAACATACAGGTCACAAAGACCCAAAGACACAAAGATGCAACAAAGAAGCCAGCCAAAACCTGCCAAATCCAAGATGGCAACAAAAGTGACTTCTGGTCGTCCTCACTGCACATTATTTGCTAATTATAATGCATTTGCATGCTAAAAGACACTCCCACCGCCACCAAGACAGCTTACAGATGCCATGGCAACTTCCAGAAGCTAAACGAGGGAGGGACTCTCAGTTCCAGGGAAATCCCCTCCCCTTTCCTGGAAAACTCATGAACAGTCCACCCCTTGTTTAGCATACGATCAAGAAATAACCACAAAAATAGCCGACTGACAGCCCTCTGGACTGCTCTGCCTATGGAGCAGCCATATTCCTTGACTTTCTTAATAAACTTGCCTTCACTTTACTCTGTGTACTCACCCTGAGTTCTTACTTGTGTGAGATCCGAGAACCCTCTCTTGGGGTCTGGACTGGGACCCCTTTCCAGTAACAGATCCAAGTTAAAACACGGATCCCCTCTCTCTTTCATGGGCTGCTGTAGAGATATGGAATTCTCTTCTGCTCCAGATTTATTGAGATCTAATCGACAAATAAAAATGGAGTTATATTTGTGTACAACGTGATGTTTTGATATATTCCATTTTGATTTATCAATTATACCCCCATAAGCCTACGGGTGGGGAACCCTCCTACTAAGTAATTTATTGTGTACCAAGGAAGAAATTTCACTGATTGTGACATGAGTATCACAATGTAGCTAACGAACCTTTCTGTTTAAGATCCACCTTCTGGGAACCTCCCTACTAAATAATTAATTGTGTACCAAAGAAGAAATTTCACTAATTGTGACATGATTATCACAATGTAGCTAATGGACTTTTCTGTTTAAGATCCACCTTCTGGGAACTTTCCTACTAACTAAGTAATTAATTGTGTGCCGAGGAAGAAATTTCACTCATTGTGACAATGGTTATCTCAATCTAGCTTATGGACCTTTCTGTTTAAGATCCACCTTCTTAGCAAATTGTAATTACCCAGTGCAGCCTTGTGAACTGTAGCCGCCCTGCTGTGCATTCAATCCATATGGGGTTCTTTAAACATCAGACTCTACCATGGGGACTTCACACGTTTCTCCACATGGGCACAAATGGTATTTTTTGTTTTTTTGTTTGTTTGTTTGTTTTGAGACAGAGTCTCGCTTTGTCGCCCAGGCCAGAGTGCAGTGGTGCGATCTCGGCTCATTGCAACCTCCGCCTGCCAGGTTCAAGTGATTCTCCTGCCTCAGCCTCCCAAGTGGCTGCAACTACAGGCACCTGCCACCATCTGGCTAATTTTTTTGTATTTTTAGGAGAGACGGGGTTTCGCCACATTGGTCAGGCTGGTCTCGAACTCCTGGCCTCAAGTGATCCACCTGCCTCAGCCTCCCAAAGTGCTGGGATTACAGGTGTGCACCACCGGGCATGGCCACAAATGGTGTTTAAAGTGCAATAGTCCTTCACCATGTGAGACTGTCTTGTCCATTATAGGAACACGTAACTCGACATTGCTAATACTTCCTTTCCCATTGAACACCTGTTGGAGACCTAATTATTGTGAAACAACAACAACAAAAAAGCCACTACTCTCATACCTTTCAAATATCCCTGGATGGGGCGATGGGAAGTGAGGGTGGTGCTCCCCCTGGTTGAAAAGCTGTGTTTGGATGCCGGGAGAAAACAATCTTCCTCCTCTTCCTTCCCCTCTAAGCTCAGCTCTGTTCTTCTCTAGCCATAGATCCCACAGCTGCCCAGGGAATGATGGGTTGGACCAGCTGAGCCTTAACCGCTTTCTGTGGAACCTGCACTCTCAGCTCTGTTGGGATCTGCTGTAGGGCAGGATGGTGGCTTTCTTCTTCCTGTACTTTTCACTGGGGACAGAGGACAGAATTGGGCACAATGAGCCACGTAATACTTTTTTTTTTTTTCTTTGAGACGGAGTCTCGCTCTGTCACCCAGGCTGCAGTGCAATGGCAAGATCTCGGCTCACTGCAACCTCCACCTCCTGGGTTTAAGCGATTCTCCTGCCTTAGCCTCCCAAGTCGCTGGGATTACAGGCGCCTGCCACCATGCCCAGCTAATTTTTGTACTTTTAGTAGAGATGGGGTTTCACCCATGTTGGCCAGGCTGGTCTTGAACACCTGAGCTCAAGTGATCAGCCCACCTCGGCCTCCCAAAGTGCTGGGATTGCAGGCTTGAGTCACCGTGCCCAGCCCTTAATACATTTTTGATAACTTGAATCAATACTTAAAACTTCAGAGTCAGATTGAGTAGTAGGTGACTCTCACCTGCGGGGAACTCTTCCTCCACACGAAGGGAAAAACATTGCTTCCTGTGTAATATTTATTAATACTTCCTCTCCGTTCTTTCTATTTTGTGCTTCTGGACCAGCATTTAGTCCAATATTGGGATATACATATTTATTTATTTATTATATTTATTTATTTTGAGACAGGGTCTCACTCTGTCGCCCAGGCTGGAGTGTAGTGGCTAGATCACGGCTCACTGCAGCCTCGACCTCCCAGGCTAAAGTAATCCTCCCATCTCAGCCTTCTGAGTAGCTGGGACCACAGGTGTGTGCCATCATGCCGGACTAAATTTTGTATTTTTTGTAGAAGCCGGGTTCCACCATATGGCCCAACTTGGTCTCGAACTCTTGGACTCAAGTGATCCTCTCATCTTGGCCTCCCAAAGTGCCAGGACTACAGGCGTTAGCCACTGTGCTTGGTCATATGTATTTATAATACATTCTTTCTTTCTTTTTTTTTGGAGAGGGAGTCTCACTCTGTCACCCAGGCTGGAGTGCAGTGGCGTAATTTCAGCTCACTGCAACCTCCCTCTCAGGTTCAAGTGACTCTCCTGCCTCAGCCTCTCAAGTAGCTGGGATTACAGGCGCCCACCACCATGCCTGGCTAATTTTTGTGTGTTAGTAGAGACGGGGTTTCACCATGTTGGCGAGGCTGGTCTCGAACTCCTGACCTCAAGTGATCTGCCCACCTTGGCTTCCCAAAGTGCTGGGATTACAGGCATGAGCCACCACGCCCAGCCTGTATTTATAATACATTTCTTTTACATTTTATTTTATATGTTTCCAACATTTTACCCAGTTTGGCAGGAATTCCATTCTATCCATGGCATCCATTTGCTTGTAATTGGTAGCCAGTCTTACTGGTGCAGATGTAAAATGTCAACAGTTGCCAGGTGCTGTGGCTCATGCCTATAATCCCAGCACTCTGGGAGGCCGAGGTGGGCGGATCACAAGGTCAAGAGATCGAGACCATCCTGGCCAATATGGTGAAACCCCATCTCTACTAAAAATACAAAAATTAGCTGGGCGTGGTGGTGCATGCCTGTAATCCCAGCTACTCAGGAGGCTGAGGCAGGAGAATTGCTGGAACCCGGGAGGCAGAGGTTGCAGTGAGCCGAGATCTCACCACTGCACTGCAGCCTGGGCGACAGAGCGAGACTCCGTCTCAAAAAAAAAAAAAAAAAAAAAGTCAACATTTATGTTTTGTTGTTACATTTTGTTTTCAAGATTTGTTGCTGTTTCTTGTTAATAGTCTTATTATTTTTCGTAAATATCATTCTTATTTTATAACTATTGTCTCCTCTGTTATAACTCTGAGGATGTGCTTATCAAAGCAATATTCCTCCTCTTCCTCCACTAACCACAGGTTGGTCCTTCTCTATCCACAGACCACACAGCTGCCAAGGGTAGCATGCGCTAGAGCTGCCGATCCTTAGAGTTTCCTGTGCAGCCAGCATTTCCAGCTGTTTGAGAGCCGCACCAGGACAGGACGATGGCTTTCTTCCCATCCTCCTCACTTAGGACAGGACGGGGTGGGCACAGGGACCCATCCAGCAAGTTATTATTTTTGTAGTTATTAAGATAGAAAGTATAGGCCGGGCATGGTGGCTCACACCTGTAATCCCGCCTCAGCCTCCCAAAGTGCTGGGATTACAGCGGTAAGTCATCATGCCCAGACGATTATTTTTTATTTGTATACGTTTATGGGGTACAAGTGTAACTTTATTGCATGGATAGATTCCAAAATGATGAAGTTAGGGCTTTCAGGTATCCACTAACCCAGTGACACACATTGTATCCATTAGATAATTCTTTTTTTTTGATGGAGTCTTGCTCTGTGACCCAGGCTGGAGTGCAGTGGCGTGATCTCAGCTCACTGCAACCTCCGCCTCCCGGGTTCAAGCGATTCTCCTGCCTCAGCCTCCTGAGTAGCTGGGACTATGGGCGTGTGCCACCACGCCCGGCTAATGTATCCATCATCATAACACACAACCATTTGAATGAATCTCACAGGCATTGTGCTGAGTGAAAAAGGTCACCCTCAGAAGGTGAGGCGATGGACGATTCCATTTATACAAGAGTCTCAAAGTGACAAAGTGATAGAGACGTAGAACAGATTAGCAGGTGCTAGGGTGGGAGAGCGATTATAAAGGGGCAGCATGAGGGAGTTCCTACGTGGTGGTGGGACAGTTCTGTGTCTTGATTGTGGCGGTGGTTCTATAAAGCCATACATACAGGCAATAAAATGTTACAGAACTATACCCATAGGCAAAGAAAAGGGAGGAGGAAAAGAAGGTGGAAGAGGAGGAAGAGCAGGAGAAAAGAAGGAAAAGGAGAAAAGGAAATAGAAATAGAAGGAAGAGGAAGAGAAAAAGAGAAACGAATTATGCACAAACTGGTGAGATCTGAGTGACCTCTGGAACCTGGTTAAACGTGTGATGCCAGTGCAAAGTCTCTGGTTTTGAAAATGTGCCATACGCCGGGCGTGGTGGCTCACGCCTGTAATCCCAGCAGTTTGGGAGGCCGAGGCAGGCGGATCGCCTGAGGTCAGAAGTTCGAGACCAGCCTGGGCAACATGGCAAAACCTCGTTTCTACTAAAAAGAACAAAAAAAATTAGCCAAGAGTGGTGGCGGACACCTGTCATCCCGGCAACTCGGGAGGCTGAGGCAGGAGAATCGCTTGAACCCGGGAGGCAGAGGTTGCAGTGAGCCAAGATTGTGCCACTGCACTCCAGCCTGGCTGACAGAGATTCTGTCTCAAAAAAAAAAAAAAAAAAAAAAAGTACTGTAATTATAAGAGATTACCATTGGCCGGGCACAGTGGCTTATGCCTGTAATCCCAGCACTTTGGGAGGCTGAGGTGGGCGGGTCACTAGAGACCAGGAGTTCAAGACCAGCCTGGCCCACATGGTGAAATCCCATCTCTACAAAAAATTAGCTGGGTGTGGTGGTGCATGCTTGTAATCCCAGCTACTTGGGAGTCTGAGGCAGGAGAATCCTTAAACCCATGAGGCAGAGGTTGCAGTGAGCCGAGATCGCGCCACTGCACTCCAGCCTGGGTGACAGAGCAAGACTCTGTCCCCCCCGCCCCCCAAAAAAAGGTTAACATTGTGGGGAGCTGGCTAGTGGGTACACGGAAGCTATAAAGCTATAGGTATTAATGTTTGTTTGTTTGCTTGTTTGAGACAGTTTCACCGTTGTTGTCCAGGCTGGAGTGCAGTGGCACAATCTTGGCTCACAGCAACCTCCGCCTCCTGGGTTCAAGCCATTCTCCTGTCTCAGCCTCCGGAGTAGCTGGGATTACAGGCATGCGCCACCATGCCTGGCTAATTTTGTATTTTTAGTAGAGACGGGGGTTTCTCCATTTTGGTCAGGCTGGTCTTGAACTCCCGACCTCAGGTGATCCGCCCGCCTCAGCCTCTCAAGGTGCTGGGATTACAGGCGTGAGCCACCGCGTCCGGCCGGTATTAGTGTTTTAAAATAAAAAATTACATTTACAGAAAACTCTTGGCAGAACTTCAGATAAGGTAGGACAGAGCTCGGGCGGGTGGGGCCACACACACCGGATTCATGGGGAAGAAGTTATCATCGACGGCTTCTTGTTTCCTGAGTCGGTTGTGAGAAGGAAACTGCAAGAGTGGGGCAGAGAACCAGAGTGTCAGAGCAAAACCTCCTCTATCTGCACATCCTGGGGACGAACCGGGCAGCCGGAGAGCTGCGGCCGGCCCAGTCCCGCTCCGCCTTTGAAGGGTAAAACCCAAGGCGGGGCCTTGGTTCTGGCAGAAGGGACGCTATGACCGCAGAATTCCTCTCCCTGCTTTGCCTCGGTGAGTCTCCAGGACTGGGACGAATGGGCTTGGGCTGGTGAGAAAAACTCATGTGGGAGTGGCAGTCCAGGTGGAAATGCGGTGTGTGGAAGTAATGACTTCCAGGTGTTGCACACCTGCGGTGGGTGGGTCTGGGCTGTGGGTTCTGTGAGTTCTGCCGCCCACATGCAAGCGAGGAGGAGGCCGCGCTGCAGAGACACGGGGACAGACTCCGCTGGGAAAGGCAGAGCTGCTGTGGGGTCTCCGAGTCTGCAGCCGCTAAATACCGCAGTACTGCCATCATCCTCCGTCGGAATAGAGGAGGGCTGGGCTTAGGGATCTACAGGGTGCAAGGCTGTGGGCAAAAAGACAATTTTCTTCTCTCTCTCTCTTATTTATTTATTTATGTATGTATGCATTTATTTATGAGACAGAGTCTCACTCTGTAGCCCAGGCTGGAGTGCAATGGCGTGATCTGGGCTCACTGCAACCTCCGTCTCCCAGGTTCAAGCGATTCTCCTGCCTCAGCCTCCCGAGTAGGTGGGACTACAGGTGCAGGCCACCACACCCGGCTGACTTTTGTATTTTAAGTAGAGACGGGGTTTCACCATGTTGGTCAGGCTGGTCTCGAGCCCCTGACCTCAGGTGATCCGCCCGCCTCAGCCTCCCAAAGTGCTGGGATTACAGGCGTGAGCCACCACACCTGGCCCCAAGAAGACAATTTTCTGACCAGCTCGATTCTTAGGCTGATTTTAACCATCCTCCAATTGAACCTGATGTATTCAGACAGAGCTCACACTGTGAAACGGATGACCTGGGTTATAATCTCGGCTTTACTACATAGAAACTCTAGGCTTGACCCAGCAGAGCTCCACCTCCCTAAGGCCCCAGTTCCTCCCTGGTGCACGGGGGGTGCGGTGGACATCGACGTGCTTCGTCTGCTTCAGTTCCTTCCTCCTTTTCTGGGTGCAGCCCTTCCTTGTGGGGTAATGCTCGTCTCCTACACACATTTGCACCTTAGATGAGCATTTTTTTTTTTTTTTGACAGAGTCTTGCTTTGTCTCCCAGGCTGGAGTGCAGTGGTGTGATCTCAGCTCACTGCAACCTCCACCTCCTGGGTTCAAGCGATTCTCCTGCCTCCGCCTCCCGAGAAGCTGGGATTATAGGCACACGCCACCACGCCTGGCTAATTTTTTGTGTTTTTAGTAGAGATGGGGTTTCACCATGTTGGCCAGGCTGGTCTCAAACTCCTGAACTCAGGTGATCTACCCACTTCAACCTCCTAAAGTGCTGGGATTACAGGTGTGAGCCACTGCACCCGGCTATTTGTGCCTTAGAGATGACTATCGGGTTCATACCCAAGCCTCCAGCTGCTGAGCACAGTAAGCTGGGCAACCAGGAGACTGACCTCATCCCCCAATGGCTGCCATACCAAAGTACTACAAGCCTGGTGGCTTAAAGGAATTAGAATTGCTTTAAGTTGGGGAGATGAGAAGTCTGAAACCAAGGTGTTTGCAATGTTGATTCCTTCTGAGAACTATGAAGGAGCGTCTGTTTTATGCCCCTCTTCTAGTGATGGCTGACAATTCTTGGCATTTTTTTTTTTTCTTGAGGCGGAGTCTTGCTCTGTCACCCAGGCTAGAGTGCAGTGGCATGATCTTTCTCACTGCAACCTCCACCTCCTGGGTTCAATCAATTCTCCTGCCTTAGCCTCCCAAGTAGCTGGGATTACAAGCATGGACCACCATGCCTGGCTAATTTTTGTATTTTTAGTAGAGACAGGGTTTCACCACGTTGGCCAGGCTGGCCTCGAACTCCTGACCTCAGGTGATCTGCCCGCCTCAGCCTCCCAAACTGTTGAGATTACAGGCGTGAGCCAGCGCTCCCGGCATTCTTTAACTTGTAGATGCATCACTCCAATCGTTGGCTCTGTTTTTTTTTTTCTTTTCTTTAGACAGGGTCTCACTCAGTTGCCCAGGCCGGAGTGCAGTGGTACCACCATAGCTCACTGCAGCCTCAACCTCCTGAGCTCAAGCAGTCCTCCCCGCAGCCTTCTGAGCAGCTAGGACTACAGGTGCACACCACCATGTTGGACTAATTAAAATAATTTCTGTTTTAGAGATGGGATCTTGCTATATTGCCCAGGCTAGTCTCCAACTCCTGGGCTCAAGCAATTCTCCTATCTTGGCATCCCAAAGCACTATGATTGCAGCCTGGCCTCTCTGCCTCTGTCTTCGCATGGCCGTCTTCCTTCTGTGTGTCTCTGTCTCTCTTTTTCTCTTCTTGTAAGTTATATTGGATTAGATACCCAGCCTACTCTAGTATGACCTCATCTTAGTTTAATTAATTACATCTGCAAAGATCAGACAATGCTATTTTCAAATAAGGTCACATTCGCAGGTCCTGGGAGTTACAACTTGAACTTCTCTTTTCAAGAAACACAAATCAGCCAGGTGTGGTGGCTCACGCCTGTAATCTCAGGACTTTGGGAGGCCCAGGCGGGCAGATCTCTTGAGGTCAGGAGTTTGAGACCAGACTGGCCAACATGGTGAAACCCCGTCTCTACTAAAAATACAAAAATTAGCTGGGCATGGTGGCAAGGACCTGTAATCCCAGCTACTCGGGAGGCTGAGGCAGGAAAATCGCTTGAACCTGGGAGGCAGAGGTTGCAGTGAGCTAAGATAGCACCGCTGCCCTCCAGCCTGGGTGACAGAGGGAGACTCCATGTCAAAAAAAAAAAAAAAAAAAGAAAAGAAAAAGAATATGGGAATTGGGCTGGGTGCAGGTAGCTCACACCTGTAATCCCAGCATGTTGGGAGGCCAAGGTGGGAGAATCACTTGAACTCAGGTGTTCGAGACCAGCCTGGGCAACATCGTGAGTCCTCATCTCTACAAAAAAATTTTAAAATCAGCCAGCGTGGTGGTGCATGCCTGTAGTCCCAGTTATTTGGGAGGCTGAGATGGATGGATCACTTGAGCCCAGGAGGTTGAGGCTGCAGTGAGCTGTGACTGCACCCTGGCACTCCAGCCTGGGCCACAGAGTGAGACCCTGTCTCAAAAAGAAAAAAGAATATAGGAATCACTGTTTGAACAGACGATGGGTGGATAGCAGAGATGAGATGACATGAATCTAAAAGCGGGATTTGGGGAGGGTCTCAAAACAGAGCCTGAGTCCTGGGATGCCCTGCCCACCCAGAGGCTGTTTCCTACCTGCCAATCCCAGCTAATCTCGCTGCCAACGCAGCTTCGGTCCATCGTGAGGCCTCCACCTCATTCCTCTGTGGTGAAGCTTGGTGGGGGGTCACGTTCTGTATCGGCACCTGTGTCAACAAGGAACCAATGTCCTGAGACACTGTCGTGGCTCTAGAGAATTTCTACCTAAATTCTACGTAACTTCACCCTGAAACAAGCCCCATGACTGACATCCCATTTTCCACCCAAGTTTAAGACGCTACCTTCCCAGCGGGGAATGTAGAGAACAGAACACAGAAGAGGGAGGGGATAATGTAAGTGGAAACCAAAGCTAAAGTGAGGAGAGTATTTGGGACCAGAAGACACGGGGAAGGGGGAGCAGATTCTCTCTATTGGAATTGAGCAAGAAAACCCTCCTCTCGGCCGGGCGCGGTGGCTGATGCCTGTAATCCCAGCACTTTGGGAGTCCGAGGCGGGTGGATCACGAGGTCAGGAGATCAAGACCATCCTGGCTAACACAGTGAAACCCCGTCTCTACTAAAAATACAAAAAAATTAATTAGCTGGGCTTGGTGGCGGGTGCCTGTAGTCCCAGCTACTCGGGAGGCCGAGGCAGGAGAATGGCGTGAACCCGGGAGGCAGAGCTTGCGGTGAGCCGAGATCGCGCCACTGCACTCCAGCCTGGGTGACAGAGCGAGACTCCATCTCGAAAAATAAAAAAAAAAAAAAAACCCACCACTCTCACTCCACGATAAAATAACCTTTGCATTATTTAAGTGGCAAGGGTAAAACTGCAATCAGGCCGGGCACGGTGGCTCATGCCTGTAATCCCAGCGCTTTGGGAGGCTGAGGCGGGTGGATCACTTGAGCTCAGGAGTTTGAGACCAGCCTGGGCAACATGGTGAAACCCCATCTCTACAACAACAACAACAAAAATTAGCTGGGCACGATGGCACACACCTGTAGTCCCAGCTACTCTGGAGCCTGAGGTACGAGTATCACTTGAACCCAGGGGGTGGAGGAGGTTGCAGTGAGCTGAGACTGCACCACTGCACTCCAGCCTGGGTGACACAGCGAGACTCTGTCTCAAAACAAAACAAAACACTGCAATCACAGAAAATACCAGAAAAAAGCATAGGTGAATGTTGAACAATTTCTAGATGGTGAAAGGATTACTCATGAAAGCAATTCAATACATCAGAAAAGGTTGCTGGGCCGGGGGCAGTGGCTCACGCCTGTAATCCCAGCACTTTGGGAGGCCGAGGCGTGTGGATCACCTGAGGTCAGGAGTTCAAGACCAGCCTGGCCAACATGGTGAGACCCTGTCTCTACTAAAAATGCAAAAATTAGCCAGGTGTGGTGGCGGGTGCCTGTAGTCCCAGCTACTCGGGAGGCTGAGGCAGGAAAATTGCTTGAACCTGGGAGGCGGAGGTTGCAGTGAACTGAGATCATGTCATTGCACTCCAGCCTGTGCAACAGAGCAAGACTACATTTCAAAAAAAAAAAAAAAAAAAGAAAGAAGAAGTTGCTGGAATTTTCTCCATACACGTAGCTTCTGAATGACAAACAATGGAACAAAAGTAAGAGGTAAGTCTGGGGAGATATCTGCCAAAAATATATACATATATGTAATACATATATTTAATATATATATTATATTTATATATGTATTATATGTAATATGTGTACATATACTTAATACATTTATTATATATAATACATATATACATTATATATATATATATATCTCAGACCTATAAAGAGCTAGTCATACGTTCTCTGCTGGATTTGTACTCAAGGACAAGCACATAATTTTTCTCTCATTGAGATTTCTCTTCCAGGGCTGTGTCTGGGCTACGAAGATGAGAAAAAGAATGGTGAGTTTTCTCCTACTTAAACTTTTATTCCTGCATCCCACGCTTCATGACCTTTTCCTTTAATCGTCTGAATTCTAGACTCAAATTAACTCTGAATTGTTTCCAGAGAAACCGCCCAAGCCCTCCCTCCACGCCTGGCCCAGCTCGGTGGTTGAAGCCGAGAGCAATGTGACCCTGAAGTGTCAGGCTCATTCCCAGAATGTGACATTTGTGCTGCGCAAGGTGAACGACTCTGGGTACAAGCAGGAACAGAGCTCGGCAGAAAACGAAGCTGAATTCCCCTTCACGGACCTGAAGCCTAAGGATGCTGGGAGGTACTTTTGTGCCTACAAGACAACAGCCTCCCATGAGTGGTCAGAAAGCAGTGAACACTTGCAGCTGGTGGTCACAGGTGAGAAGGGCAGATGTACTCTTTGATGCACACATTTCTTTGGTTTGGCTTTGCTTTTTTTTTTTTAAGACAGAGTCTTGCTGTGTCTCCCAGGCTGGAGTGCAGTGGCACGATCTCGGCTCACTGCAACTTCTGCCTCCTGGGTTCAAGCAATTCTCCCTCCTCAGCCTCCCGAGTAGCTGGGACTACAGGCGCCCGCCACCACGCCCAGCTAATTGTTTGTGTTTTTAGTAGAGATGGGGTTTCGCCATGTTAGCCAGGATGGTCTCCATCTCCTGACCTTGTGATCCACCTGCCTCCGCCTCCCAAAGTGCTGGGATTACAGGCATGAGCCACCGCGCCCGGCCTAATTTTTGTATTTTTAATAAAGATGAGGTTGTACCATATTGGTGAGGTTGATCTCAAACTCCTGACCTCAAGTGATCCATCTGCCTCGGCCTCCCAAAGGGCTGGGATTATAAACGTGAACCTCCACACCCAGCCTTTTTTTTTTTTTTGAGAGGGAGTCTTGCTCTGTTGCCCAGGCTGGAGTACAGTGGCATGATCTCAGCTCACTGCAACCCCCGCCTCCTGGGTTCATGCAATTCACCTGCCTCAGCCTCCCGAGTAGCTGGAACTACAGGGGTGCGCCACCACACCTGGCTAATTTTTGTATTTTAGTAGAGACAGGGTTTTACCATGTTGGCCAGGCTGATCTCGAACTGCTGACCTCAAGTGATCTGCCCACCTCAGCCTCCCAAAGTGCTGAGATTACAGGAGTGAGCCACTGCGCTCGGCTGCTTTTTTTTTTTTTGACAGAATCTCGCTCTGTCACCCAGGCAGGAGTGCAGTGGCATGAACACAATTCACTGCAGCCTCGACCTCCCAGGCTCAAGCGATTTTCCCACATCAGCCTCCCAAGTAGCTGGGAGTACAGGCAAGCACCACCATGCCTGGCTAATTTTTAAATTACTTGTTGAGACAGGATCTATGTTGCCCAGGCTGGTCTTGAACTCCTGAGCTCAGGTGATCCTCCTGCCTTGGCCTCCCAAAGTGCTGGGATTACAGGCGTGAGTCACCAAAGCCTGCCTGATGCACGTATTTCTTTTCCTGTCGTGGGACATGGCTGGGGAAGAAGGAATCTAGGAGACAAAAAGATAGATGCAGGCCAGGCACGGCGCGGTGGCTCATGCCTGTAATCCCAGCACTTTGGGAGGCAGAGGTGGGCAGATCACTTGAGGTCGGGAGTTCGAGACCAGCCTGGCCAACATGGTGAAACCTCACCTCTACTTAAAATACAAAAATTAGCTGGGCGTGGTGGCAGGCGCCTGTAATCCCAGCTACTAGGGAGGCTGAGGCAGGAAGAGAATCTCTTGAGCCCAGAAGGCAGAGGTTGTAATGAGCTGAGATTGTGCCACTGCACTGCAGCCTGGATGAAAGAGCAAGACTCCGTCTAAAAAAAAAAAAGAAGAAGAAGGATAGATGCAACACCTTCAATGTGGAAATGGGAACCGAATGTGGAGCAAGATTCTCATCAGAGATTCTGAGAGGGTCCCAATGATGTGGATGTGGGAGGGTGGTGTAGAATATGGTCAGTTAATAGAAAATTGGGGTATGGTAAGACTGACAGACCAAGTGATGATTGCCATGGAAAAGATGGTCTGTTACAGTTCCCAAGAGGAGGAGGAAGGCTATACTGGGGGGAGTATGTGGGGAAGCACCAGGGTCAATGAGGGGCAGAGGGAGGAGGAAGAACTGTGGACCAGAGCTTTGATTGTATTTTGTGGGGAGAACAAGATTAGAGTTGGCCAGGTGTGGTGGTTCATGCCTGTAATCCTAGCACTTTGGGAGGCCTAGGAGGGTGGATCACCTGAGGTCAGGAGTTTGACATCAGCCTGGGTAACATGGCGAAACTCCATCTCTACAAAAATACAATAATTACCTGGGTGTGGTGGTGTGCACCTGTGCTTTCAGCTACTCGGGAGGCTGAGGCACGAGAATTGCTTGAACCCCAGAGGCAGAGGCTGCGGTGAGCCAAGATCGTGCCACTGCACTCAAGCCTGGGTGATAGAATGAGAACCTGTCTCAAAAAAAAAAAAAAAAAAAAAAAAAGAAAAGAAAAGAAAAGAAAGAAAGAAAAGAAAAACAAAAAAAGAATTGGCTTTGGGGTGTAGAGGCTGTCCCTGGTTGTCTAGTTCTTGGACCTGGGGTGATTAGGAGAGGACAACATTGACCTTGAGTGTGAGAGCCCCATAATTAAGGTGGTTGAGAGTATGGGCTCTGGATCTATTGGCTTGCATTTGAGGGACATCCTTGAGGACAAGTTGTTTACTGGCTCTAGAAATTAACTAACCCTGCGAGGGGAGGTCCCACCAAGGGCAGCAAGGCCCCAAGATGTTAAAGCATCAAATGCAGAAGATGAAAGACATGGTTAATACGGAGAGATGGATGAGATAGTCCCCAAGTGCAGTAGAAAATGGAAAAGCCCTGGCCCTTCTCTTTACCTCCATTGCCTTGTCCTCTTCAGGATCACTCCCAGAACCTTTGCTCTCAGTCAATGTAGACCCTGGGATGACTCCAGGTCTCAGGACACTTCGATGTCTCACTCCATACAATGGAACCGAATGTATTGTAATTGCTCTGTTGAAAATGGGGATCCCAGAACCATTACAAGTCAGGCAAGTAAGAAAAAACCAGACTGATTTCATGCTCTGGAACGTGACAAGTAATGACAGTGGAAACTACAGCTGTGTGTATTACCTGAGCAACTCATCACACTTGGCCTCCTTCCCCAGCAACAAGCTGGAGATCTGGGTGACAGGTGAGGATAGAGTGATAACACTGGCATTTGACATGTATCCAGCATTTTCTATGTTCCTGTCTCCACGACAGGTAACTTGCCTCCACTAACTCATTCAGTCTTCACTTCCTATGAGGGTGGTTGTGTTACTAACTTCTTTTTGCTCATAGAGATTAGGTGACCTCCCCGGTGTCACAAAAACAATGAGCTTCACAGTTGCTATTCAGACATAAATGAAAATTTATATTTCATTATGCCAGAGAAGGAAAGCCAGAAAGAGTGTCCAGTGCTCTATGAGGGATGTAGGAATGGCAAATAATGGATTGTGGGGCTAAGAGATCCCATTGTGTGGAAAAGTATGGGAGGCACGGTGCAGGTAACTGAAAAAAAAATGATGAGGACCACAGTGAGAAGATGCACGTGGGAGGATTGTAACATACATGACTTGAGATCCCAAGGAAGAGGGATAAAGAATAATTTTGCATCACTTTCATCTACCCATTTATCTACTCACCCATCCATCTATCAATCTACCCACCCATCTATCAACCCACCCACCCATCTACCCACCTACCAACCCATCCACCCTCCTACCCACTCATTCACCCATCCATCCACTCACTTATCCATCTATCCATCAACTCATCCATCCATCCATCCATCCATCCATCCATCCATTCATCTATCCATTAATCCATCCAACCACCAACCCTTCCATTCATCTGTCCACCCACCCCTTCATCCATCTATCTACCTACCTACCCATCTATTTACCCAGCCACTCATTTGTCCATCCTTCCACCCATTCATCCACTCATCCACCCTTTCACCCATTCACTCACCCCCACCCACCTATCCATCTATCCATCCATCCATCCATCCATCCATCCATTCATCCATTCATTTATTAGTCACTAAACAATACCTCTCAACTGACCACAGTTGCTTCCAGTAGGTCAGTCCTGCCATATCATGGGAAATCCCTGGAGAGACTTTACAGTCATCAGTGTAGTGTAGAAGTAGCCGTGGGTCCACACCAATGACTTAGCCTGGGCTTGGGGCATGATGAGTAACTGAATACTTAATGTTTCACCTCTGATTTACCCTCTTTCTGAGGCTCTTGATCAATGATACTCCAACAAGGTGCTCATCACTTTGATATTGATTTCAAATTGTATTCCCCATAACTCGTTCTTGTAGTCTTAAGAATTTCTGCACCCACACTTTAGCCCTAAAAGCCTCGCGATTATTTGCCATTTCCCAATTATGTTCTCTGGCATATCATCTACTGTTTCCTGATTTCTTCACCTCTATCGCAGCTGTACCATTACATCACAAGACAGGCTATAGTATCAATTTCCAGTGGTTGATTTTCCAGGTCAGCCTTCCATATACAATCTGTTTGCTGCTTTGCAAATCACTTTATTATACTACTTTTTACTTTTTTATTATACTACTTTTTACTTATTACAAAATGGGCATATAAATGCTTCCATTACAAAAAAAAATTAATGCAAAATACCTGGCACAAAAATAGCTGCCCATTCACCCTACAAATTCAGATACTTTGGTAGATCCTGAGCATATTGTAGGAACTGAGACAGACCAGGTCTCTGGCCAACAGGAGCTCACATTCTTCTTTGGAAGAAAGAAAGAAATAAGAGCAAGCTATCAGAGTAATTAAAAAACACATTATAGATGGAGAATAACTGTGAGAGGCATTGTATTAGTGATCTACAGCTGCATAACAAATTACCACTAATTTAGCAGCCTGAAACACCTATTTATTATCTCACAGTTGATGTGGGTCAGGAGTCCAGGCACAGCTTAGCTGAGTCCTCTGCTTTGGGTCTCATAAGGATGCAATCAAGGTGTCAACAAGGGCTGTGTTCTCATCTGGCTCATCTGGAGGCTTGACTGGGGAAGGGTCCATTTCTCCACTCCTGTGGTTGATAGCAATATCTGGTTCTTTATAGCTGTAGGATTCATGCTAGAATGATTCTGCAGCACTTGCAAGAAGAGAGATTGAGAGAGAGAGAAGAAAGAGAGAGCAAATGCCCTAGCAAACAGAGTTTTATGTAATGTAACATAATCAAGAGCATAACATCCCATCACCTTTGCCATAGCTATTGGTGAGAAGAAAGTCACAGATCTCCACACTCAAGGTGAGGGGATTAGACAAAGGCATGAACACCAGGAAGCAGGGCTCCTGAGTCTCCTGAGTGCCCCCTTAGGGTCTATCTGCCACAAGCATGAAGGATGAGAATGACCCAACCACACCGATATCTGGAGAACAGCCCTCCAGGGAGAGAGAGCAGCAAAAGCAAAGTCTCAGAAGTGTGAGTGTTCCTGGAATGATTGAGACACAGAAAGGAGGACATAAGGCAGGGCCTAGAGCATCTAGGATCTTGTGGGTGTTTGAACTGGTCCTAGAGTCTGCTTTGAAAGAACAGGAACCCACTGATGAAGTTGAGCTGGAGGATGGCATGATTTTATTTATATGCTGGAAGGGTCACTGGCTGCTTTTTTTTTTTTTTTTTTTTTTGAGACAGGGTCCCACTCGGTTGCCCAGGCTGGAGTGCAGTGGTGCAATCACAGCTCACTGCAGCCTTGACCTCCCAGGCCCAGGTAATCCTCCCACCTCAGCCTCCCAAGCATCTGAGATTACAGGCACAGGCCATCATGCCCGGCCTCTGGCTGCTTTTGGAAAATAAGGGACTAGATGTAGTAAGAGTTGGTGCGTTTCAGGCAATACGACTTTTTAAATTTAAAAATATCAAATTGACAAATGAAGATTGTATATATTCAAGGTATACAATCTGATGATTTGATCCACCTGTACATTGTGTAATGATTATCACAGTCAAATTAATTAGCACATCCATTGCCACCATGCTGAGCACCTGAACTTCTTCATCTTAGAACTGGAAACTTATACCCTTTCATCAACATCTCCGCATATATCATGCTAAACAAAATAAGCCAGACTCAGAAAGACAAATTCTGCAGGATCTCACTCATATGTGTAGTCTAAAAAAGCCAAACTCACAGAAGCAACTGGTGGTTGCCAGGGACTGGTGAGTAGGTGATATTTCATTTCATTTTTATTTTTATTTTTATTTTTTTTTTGAGACGGAGTCTGGCTCTGTCCCTCAGGCTGGAGTGCAGTGGCGCGATCTCGGCTCACTGCAAGCTCCGCCTCCCGGGTTCACGCCATTCTCCTGCCTCAGCCTCCCGAGTAGCTGGGACTACAGGGGCCCGCCACCACGCTCGGCTAACTTTTTGTATTTTTAGTAGAGACGGGGTTTCACCATGTTAGCCAGGATGGTCTCGATCTCCTGACCTTGTGATCTGCCCGCCTCGGCCTCCCAAAGTGCTGGGATTACAGGCGTGAGCCACTGCGCCCGGCCAAGTAGGTGATATTTTAACTTAGACTAAATGGTGCCACTGTGGAGATAGAAATATAGGCCAGGTGCAGTGGCTCATGCCTGGAATCCCAGTATTCTGAGTGGCCAAGGCAGGTTGATCACTTGAGGCCAGGAGTTTGAGACCAGCCTGGCCAACATGGTGAAACCCTGTCTCTACTAAAAATACAAAAATTAGCAGGGTGTGGTGGCGGGCGCCTGTAGTCCCAGCTACTTGGAAGGCTGAGGCAGGAGAATCTCTTGAACCCGGGAGGCGGAGGTTGCAGTGAGCTGAGATCATGCCACTGCACTCCAGCTTGGGTAACAGTGCAAGACTCAAAAAAAATAAAAGAAAGAAAGAATTTGGGTGAATGGTGTTCTTTGTCAAGATAGAGAAGACTGGCAAGGAATCAAACTGGAGGGGGCGTTAGCAGGGTCATTCATAAATATTTTTGTTATTAAAAATACTATCAAACTCCAGGACTATTAAGAAGAGTAATCTGAGGCTCTGTCCATGCTCTGAGGACCCAGGGAGCATCTAGGGAATGGAGAAGCCATTCTCTTTTCTGCTTCCCAAAGAAGAACAGGATGTCTATAAGTAGGACGTGAGGACTCCTGTCCCCAAGGTTCCTGTATGATTAGTGTAATTCCTTTTCTTCCCTCCTATTTTCTAGATAAACACGATGAACTTGAAGCTCCCTCAATGAAAACAGGTAAGATAATTAGAAAGGAGATGTTTTTCCCAATGAGATCTGCTTCATGATCACCTTTGCTTAAAGTGCACAAGGAGAACTTTATTTATTTGTTTGTTTGTTTGTTTGTTTGTTTTTTGAGATAGAGTCTCGCTTTGTCACCAAGGCTGGAGTACAGTGGCGCAATCTCAGCTCACTGCAACCTTCGCCTCCCGGATTCAAGCAATTTTCCTGCCTCAGCCTCCCGAATAGCTGGGACTACAGGCACGCACCACCACACCCAGCTAATTTTTGTATTTTTAGTAGAGACGGGGTTTCACCATGTTGGCCAGGCTGGTCTCGAACTCCTGACCTTGTGATCTGCCCGCCTCAGCCTCCCAAAGTGCTGGGATTACAGGCGTGAGCCACCGCACACGGCCTATTTATTTTTTTGAGAAAGAGTCTTGTTCTGTCCCCCAGGGTGGCGTGAAGTGGCACAATCTCAGCTCACTGCAACCTCCACTTCCTGGGTTCTGGGTTCAAGCAATTCTCCTGCCTCGGCCTCCCGAATAGCTGGGATTACAGGCACCCACCACCATATCCAGCTCAGTTTTGTTTTTTGTTTTTTGTTTTTAGTAGAGATGGGGTTTCACCATGTTGGCCAGGCTGGTATCAAACTCCTGACCTCAAGCAATTCCCCCGCCTCGGCCTCTCAAAGTGTTGGGATTACAGGCATGAGCCACCGCACCCGGCCTAGAAGAACTTTAAAGCCCATTTTCTCAATGTTATTGGGGAAACTGCTGTGTTTTGGGGGGTGGAGGATGAGGGGAGATAACCTCTAAAGTGCTTCCGGGTTCTGAAGAAGCTGGTGTGTAAAACAGCACAGAGTGCGTTGTTTGCCATATGACATGATGAAAAACTAGGGTGGGATTTGGGGAATAATGGGGGTGAATTTTTCAGTGACCCATTTGGGGAGTAGGACCAGGACCTACGCAGAGTAGGTACTTCAGGAATATATATAATCAAGAGTTTGTTATAACTCTAAAATTCTCAAAAATAGGTGAATATTGAATTTTTTTTCTAATGTTGCTTATTCATTAACAATTGACTAAGATTCTGTCCTCAGAGTTTCTCATAAAAATTAGAGCTTTTGGGCCAGGCGAGGTGGCTCACATCTGTAATCCCAGCACTTTGGGAGGCCGAGGTGGGCGGATCACCTGAGGTCAGGAGTTCGAAACCAGCCTGGGCAACATGGTGAAACCCTGTCTCTACTAAAAATACAAAAATTTGCTGGGCATTGTGGTGGGCGCCTGTATTCCCAGCTACTCAAGTGACTGAGGCAGGAGAATTGCTTGAACCTGGGAGGCAGAGGTTGCAGTGAGCCGAGATTACACCACTGCCCTCCAGCCTGGGCAACAGAGTGAGACTCTGTCTCCAAAAAAAAAAAAAAAAAAAAAAAATTAAAAAGTTAGAGCTTTTGGCAGCATTCGGCTGAAACAGGAACTCATCCAGACTTTAAGGGCCAAATGCAGAATATAAATTGGCATCTAGATGCTTAATCATCCTTCCTTTCAGCAAGTCATAATCTTCCTGCAACCTACTCCAAAGAGCCAAAGTTGCTGAAGGTTGTTGCTAGCAGTCTGTGCTGGTATAATCGGTTTTCAAAAAGGTATCCTCCAAAGTGTTCTTGCAAGATAACTATTTGAAACGTTTTTATTCCATGATAGTAGGCTTGGGAAATGTCTGCTACCCTAGCACTACGAACACAATTCACGTCAGGAACGTTTTCTGAGAAAGATATGAAATCTAATGGGAGAGAGGAACACAGAAGTATCAGAAACGAGGTGGGAGATCTAGTGAGGTGTGAGGGGGAGGAGGAAGAGAAGCTTTTCTATTTTGAGCTCTTGTATCATTTATTTTCTTTCTTTTTTTATTGATATATAATTCACAGTCCAAAAATTCACCCTTGTAAAGTGTCCAATTCACTGGCATTTTGTATCTTCATGAGGTAGTATAACCATCACCACTACATAATTCCAGAACATTCTCATCACCCTAAAAGAAAATCTTGTACCCATTAAGCAGTCACTCCTCATTTCCCACTTTCCCACCAGGCCCTTCCAACCATTCATATGCTTCTCTGTGTCTATGATTTTGTCTATTCTGGACATTTTGTGTAAGTGGATTCATACACTATGTGATCCTTTGTGACTAGCTCCTTTCTCTTTAGCATAATGTTTTCAAAGTTTGTCTGTACTGTAGCATGCATCAATGTTTCATTTCTTGTCATGGTGAAAAGCATCGTATTGTATGGATAGACCACATTTTGCTTATCCATTCTTTTTTTTGTTTTTGTTTTTGTTTTTTTGAGACGGAGTCTTGCTCTGTCGCCCAGGCTGGAGTGCAGTGGCACAATCTCAGCTCACTGCAACCTCCGCCTCCCAGGTTTAAGTGATTCTTTTGCCTTAACCTCCTGAGTAGCTGGACCTACAGGCGCCCGTCACCATGCCTAGCTAATTTGTGTATTTTTAGTAGAGAGGGGGTTTCACCATGTTGGCTAGGCTGGTCTCGAACTCCTGACCTCAGGTGATCCACACGCCTCAGCTTCCCAAAGTGCTGGGATTACAGACTTGAGCTACTGTGCCTGGCCCCGTTCTTCTTTTGATGGACATTTGTGTTGTCTGCACCTCTTGGCTAAAGCGAGTAATGGTGCTGGAACACTGTGGTAGGAGTATCTGTTTGTCTCCGCGCTGTAAATTATCTTGAGTATGTACCTAGAAGTGGATTTGCTAGGACATATGGTGACTATTATGTTCAACTTTTTGAGGAACTGCCAAATCATTTTCCATTGTGGCTGTATCATGTTATATTCCTTCCAGTAATATATGTGGGTTCCAATATCTCCACATCCTTGTCAACACTTACTTTTCTTTTTTTAAATTATAGCCATCCCAGTGGGTATTATATAATTTCTTAAAATGTACTTTTTGAGTTCAAATTTGTATCATCACAATTCTAAACAGAATAAAATATCTTTGCCGGGCGCAGTGGCTCACGTCTGTAATACCAGGACTTTGGGAAGATGAGGCAGGAGGATCACTTGAGCCCAGGGGTTCAAGACCAGCCTGGACAACTTGGTAAGATCCCATCTCTACAAAAAATACAAAAATTAGCCAGGCGTGGTGGTGTGCACCTGTAGTCCCAGCTACTTGGGAGGCTCAGGCAGAAAGATCGTTTGCGCCCAGGAGGTTGAGGCTTCAGTGAACTGTGATTGCGCCACAGCACTCCAGCCTGGGTGACAGAGCGAGACCCTGTTTCAGTAAATAAATAAAATAAAAGTAAAATATCTGTAAGCACAGGTATGATGTCCCCAGCCTGTATTTATATGCCTAAAACACACTAGAAAACGACTCTATGTTCAATCGCAATGTAGAGAATGAAGATGAATTTTATCACACAAGACTTGACTTTCTTTCTGGTGCCTGTGCCTCCATTTATGCCCCGTGTCAGGCTGTATCTTGTTGCTCACGCTGACTTTAGTAGCGTAGCAAGTTATGATTTATTCTGGCAATTTGCAAATACTGATGCAACATTTGGCCAGGATCTGTGGACATCTCAGGGTGAACCCAGTTCAGCTGATTATGGGGTCATATGAAGATGAGAATTTTGCAATAATGTACTTCTCATTTCTAGTGAATTGCTGTGTGAAAGATACCGTAGGCTGGAAAAGGGGAGAACAGAAAGGACAAGGCAAGGCTGCTGTTTCTCTGCTTCCATCTGGGGAAACTGAGAGTCCAGGAGCAGCTGTTCCTGCCCTGTTTTCATAAGTCCTTGGAGATGCACTGATAGAATTGTTGCTTATGGCCAGGCATGGTGGCTTATGTAATCCCAGCACTTTGGGAGGCCAAAGTGGGCAGAACACTTGAGCTCTGGAGTTTGAGACCAGCCTAACCAACATGGTGAAACCTCATCTCTACTAGAAATATAAAAAATTAGCGGGGTGAGGTGGCGGGTGCTTGTAATCCCAGCTCCTTGGGAGGCTGAGGCAGGAGAATTGCTTGAACCCCAGAGGGGGAGGTTCCAAAGCCGAGATTGTACCACTGCACTCCAGCCTGGGAGACAGAGTGAGACTGTCTCAAAAAAAAAAAAATTGTTGCTTTTGAGGGGTTCTCTGATTCAGCTCCACCAGAAGCAGGCTCTTAGACAGCATTAGTGTGAAAGTGACGTTTTATTTTATTTATTATTTATTTAGTTTTGAGACAGAGTTTCGCTCTTGTTGCCCAGGCTGGAGTGCAATGGCGTGATCTTGGCTCACTGCAACCTCCGCCTACCAGGTTCAAGAGATTCTCCTGCCTCAGCCTCCCAAATAGCTGGGATTACAGGCATGCACCACCACACCCAGCTAATATTCTATTTTTAGTAGAGACGGGGTTTCTCCATGTTGGTCAGGCTGGTCTCGAACTCCTGACCTCAGGTGCTCTGCCTGCCTCGACCTCCCAAAGTGCTGGGATTACAGGTGTGAGCCACCACGCCTGGCTTGAAAATTACATTTTAGGGAGTGGGGAAGAAGGGCTGGGAGGAAAATAGATTAAACAAGTGTGGGATATCTGTGTCCCTCAGATGGTATCTTTGGCTCCATCCTGCAGAAAGCAGTGGAGACAGAGAAGGTCGAAGACCAGAGGCTAGGGAGCTGGGGTCCCCACAGCCGTCAGTGGCAGTTTGTCCCGGGCATGTAAATTCCAAGGCATTTGGAGTTCTCCCAGGCAGTCCCCCAAAGAAGAGATACAAATGTTCACTTTGGAAAGGGAAAGAAGCCACGATCTAGAATGCATAAAAATGGGAAAGGGATCTGGGGAACATGGGTTGAGGAACATTGACAGAATCTATTACAGAGAGAGATGGGTGTAGGTGGAATATTGGGTGAAAAAAAATCATCATTATACCTACAATCCCATTATCCGACACAATGAGTCAGTTTCTAGACTGAGCGCTTTAAAGCCAGGATTTTTCATCATTACCTAACTCTTCAAGTTAGATATTATTAGCTCTCTGCCCCCTCCTTATATTTAACCAAAAAATAACGTATTCCAGAAAGGGAAGGGAACATTTACAAAGTCAGGAGGTAGGAGACCCAGTACTAGAACTCAAATATGTCTTGTTTCAAACTCCCCACTCCTTTTGCTGCTCCCTGATGATCAGCTCAGAAAGAACCTTATTTCAGGGAGGGGGATAGATAGATAATTAGATGTGATAGATAATAGGCAAGTAGGCAGATAAATAGATAACTAGATATGATAGATTAGATAGATACATAGATGATAGGTAGATAAGTAGCTAGATACGATGGACAGATTAGATAGATAGACAGATGATAGGTAAGTAGGTAGATAGATAACTAGATACAACAGGTTAGATAAGTAAGTAGATAGATAACTAGATATGATAGATTAGATAGATAAATAGACGATAGGTAAGTAGGTAGATAGATACAGATAGATTAGCTAGCTAGCTAGATGATAGATAACTAGATATAATAGATAAGATAGATGATTAGATAGACAGATAATTAGATATGATTGATAGATACATTAGATAGATGATAGATTAGATAGATAGATGATAGGTAACTAGGTAGCTAGATAAAGCTAGCTAGATAGATAGATAGATATACAGATACACAGATAGATACATAGATACCTAGATAGGTGATAGAGTTGCAAGATAGAAAAATTAGATAAGTAGGTGGATAGATAGATAGATAACTAGATAGAATAGATTAAATAGATAATAGTAGGTGAATAGACAGATACATACAGATGATAGATGATAGATGATAGATAACTGGTTATGATTGATAGATACATTAGATAGATGATAGATTTGGTAACTAGATGATAGGTAAGTCGGTAGATAGATAAGTGATAATTAGATATGATAGGATGGATAGATTAGACAGACAGCAGGTAAGCAGGTGGATAGACAGATAAAGATAGATACATAGATGCCTAGATAAGTGATAGATTAACAAGATAGAAAAATTAGACAGACAGATAGTTAATTACATATGATAGGATAGATAGATTGGATAGGTGATAGGCAAGTAGGTAGATAGATAAATCATAATTAGATAGGACGGATAGATTGGATAGATGATAGGTAAGTAGGTACAGAGACAGATAAAGATAGATAGGTAGATAGATAATAGATACCTAGACAGATGGTAGATAGATTAGCGAGATAGATAAATTAGATAGGTAATTCTCTATATATAGATATGTAGAAATGCCAATGCAAACATAGCGAACCAAGTAGGGGAAGCGTCTGGATGGGAGACCCTCTGTTGGTGCAGAGGACCAGGCGTGTGAAGCATCTCAGACTTGGCTCTGTAATGTGACCACAGATCATTGCACACCTAGGAAAAATTCTCAGACTCAAAGCACACTAACAAAGATAGCGGGGGTCTTGGTGAAGCCCCTTTCTGGGGCCTCACTTCTATAGTTGCTCAACTTTTTTCCTTAATCACGTTTCTGCTACTTACTCCTTAAAGTCTCACGACTTGTGTTTCTTGAATCTAAAGTGCCAAGAAAAACAAAAAACGGGGGGGAACTGCATGGACTCTGTCGCCTAGCTTTAGTAACAGGTTGCTCTCTCTTCCTCAACGCTGTGAGCTTTGGACACAACCCTTGCTGTAATCCCAGGAGTCACACGGGAATGCATGCCCTTCACCAGTGGGAGGGAAATAATTGTACTACCTTGCAGGGTTGTTGTTAAGACTTTAAAACGCTATGATGTAGACTTGCATGGCAATATTGCTCAAGAACTAGTTTTTTTTGTTTTGTTTTGTTTTTGTTTTTTAATTGGTAGAAATTTTATCTCCTGAGAGGGATGCTTTTTTGAGTTGGAGTCTTGGTCAGTTGAGTGTATGATGCAGTGATGCGATCTCGGCTCACTGCAACCTCCGCCTCCCAGGTTCAAGCAATTCTCTTCTCTCAGCCTCCTGAGTAGCTGGGACTACAGGCGTGCGCCACCATGCCCAGCTTATTTTTTATATTTTCAGTAGAGACAGGGTTTCACCATGTTGGCCAGGCTGGTCTCGAACTCCAGACCTCAAGTGATCCACCTACTTCACTCTCCCAAAGTGCCAGGATTACAGGCGTGAGCCACCGTGCCCGGCCACTGGTCATTCTTTTCTACCCTGCTCTAACCCTGTTCTTATTAGGAATCCTCCCTGAATTCTCCCAGCTGATCCCTTGTTCTGTGTCTTGGGGAATCATGTCTCCTTCAGAGAGCCCCACCCCTCCCCACTCTAAACGCCTTCCATGCCCGTGTCACTGCTGTTCATTACCTGGCATCAACGAGCTCATTGAAGTGTGTTTGAAGTTGGCTGGGCGTGGTGGTCTGTACTCCCAGCTACCCTGGAGGCCGAGTGAGGAGGACCACTTGAGCCCAGGAATTCGAGTATGATCACACCACTGCACTCTAGCCTGGGCAACAATGGGAACCCATTGGCACATCTGGGATTGGCATCCTGAGCTCCCATCTGTGACCTCCCTCCTCTCCCCTCCTCTCCCCTCCATTGCCCTCACCCTCTCCCCATAATCTTCACATCCCGTCCTTTCACATCTCTCTCTCTCCTTTAAAAAAAGAAAAAGGAAATATGTTTGAAGTTAAGAGCTGAGATCATGTCTGTGTTAGCCAGGGTTTTCCAGAAAAACAGAACCAATAGAACATATAGATATAAGCTGGGTGTGGTGGCTCACGCCTGTAATCCCAGCACTTTGGGAGGCCGAGGCAGGCAGATTGCCTGAGGTCAGTAGTTCAAGACCAGCGTGGCCAACATGGCGAAACCCCGTCTCTACTAAAAATACAAAAATTAGCCGGGCGTGATGGTGGGCACCTGTAATCCCAGCTACTCAGGAGGCTAAGGCAGGAGAATTGCTTGAACCCGGGAGGCGGAGCTTGCAGTGAGCCAAGATTGCACTATTGCACTCCAGCCTGGACGATAAGAGTGAGACTTTGTCTCAAAAAAAAAAAAGAGAACATATACATGTATATACATATATGGAGAGAGAGATTGATTTTAATGGATTGGTTCACGTGATTGTGGGGAGCTGGCAAGTCTGAAATCTGCAGGGCAGGCAGGCAGGGGATCCAGGGGAGACTTGATATTGCAGCTTGAGTCTGGAGGCAGAATTCCTTCCACCTTGGGGGACCTCAGTCTTTTCTCTTAAAGTCTTAAAGTCTTCAACTGATTGGATGAGGCCCACCCCTATGACAGTGGGTCATCTGCTTTACTCAAAGTCTATTGGTCGAAATGTCCAGCTCCAAGGAAGTTCCAGCTCCAAGGTGGGAGATCCAGGCTTGGAAGCCAGGCCATCTGTCTGGCTTCTCTTAGCTTTTCTACTCACCCCATCAGTGGATTTCAGACAGTGATTACACAGACAGATGTGGTGGCTCACGCCTGTAATCCCAACTACTCAGGAGGCTGAGTCAGGAGAATTGTTTGAACCAGGGAGGTGGAGGTTGCAGTGAGCCAGGATCACACTCCAGCCTGGGTGACAGAACACGACTCCATCTCAAAAAAAAAAAAGTGTGTATATATATATATATATGTATATATATATATATATATATATATATATATACACATTTATATATACACACACATATATATACATTTATATATATATATACACACACACACACGTATATATATATATGGAGCACCTGGAACAGAGCTGGCTCACAATAAATGATCAATATCATTGCTATGCACCAAACATTCCCTGGGAATTTTTGGAATTTCCTATGCGCCAAGCACTGTTCCAGCCCTTTCTATAGGTACTGACCCACCATCCAATAAAGTAGCTACTGCTGCTATCCTCACTTTACAGATGGGGAAACAGAAGCTTGGAGAAGATTAAGGAAATTCCCCAAAGCAATAGGAAGTTCCAGCTCCGAGGTGGGAGATCCAGGCTTGGAAGCCAGGCCATCTGTCTGGCTTCTCTTAGCTTTTCGGCTCGCCCCTATCAGTGGATTTCAGGAGCCAGGCTGATTCCCTGACCTGCTCTTCCCCCTCCAGACACCAGAACCATCTTTGTCGCCATCTTCAGCTGCATCTCCATCCTTCTCCTCTTCCTCTCAGTCTTCATCATCTACAGATGCAGCCAGCACAGTGAGCTCAGAGAACGCAAAGGGAGAGAGGGGGAGTGAAGGATTTTCTCGGTAGGTAAATTCCTCCTGCATTTTTTGTAGGTTCATCATCTGAGGAATCCACCAAGAGGTAGATGCTTGGCATAGCTCATGCTCCACTTATTCCCATGTCATTCTCAAGGGAACCCATTGGCACATCCGGGATTGGCACCCTGAGCCCCCACCCCAGCCCATTCTGTGACCTTCCTCCTCTCCCTTCTTCTCCCTTCCTCTCCCCTCCATTGCCCTCACCCTCTCCCCGAAATCTTCACATCCCATCCTTTCACGTGTGTCTCTCTCTTTCAGAACCAGCCATTCCAAACTTCCGGAGCAGGAGGCTGCCGGTAAGGGACAGGGGAAGTTTAAGGGAATCACCGGATAGAAAGACTAAGTTCTGACTTCTGCAGCTGAGAACTGATTTTTTTTTTTCCTTTCTCACTCAGAGGCAGATTTATCCAATATGGAAAGGGTATCTCTCTCGGTGAGTCCTCCCGCTTAGGAGTCCCACAAGAGCTCCCTCACCACAATGGGCTGGTCGTGTGTGCCTCCTGGTTAAGCCCATACAGAAATGTATACTGTTTATCACGCATGTGGTCTTAGACAAGTCACGAAACTCCCCTAATGGGAACCAAAATCTCCATTTAAAAGGCTTATGCATGGGCCGGGCGCGGTGGCTCACGCCTGTAATCCCAGCACTTTGGGAGGCCGAGGCGGGCGGATCATGAGGTCAGGAGATCGAGACCATCCTGGTTAACATGGTGAAACCCCATCTCTACTAAAGATACAAAAAATTAGCTGGGCGTGGTAGTGGGCGCCTGTAATCCCAGCTACTCAGGAGGCTGAGCCAGGAGAATGGCTTGAACCCGGGAGGCGGAGGTTGCAGTGAGCCGAGATCACGCCACCGCACTCCAGCCTGGGCGACAGAGCCAGACTCTGTCCCAAAATAAATAAATAAATAAAAATTTAAAAAAAATGAAAAAAGGCTTACGCAGATCCATTGATGTCACAGGCATAAAGGGTTATAAAAACAGAAAAGAAAAAGAAATGCATCTGGTGTGACCGAGGACCTGGGTTTTAAATTAAATTTAATTGTAATTAACTTAAATGTCAATAGCCATGTGTGGCTAGTGGCTGCCATATTGAACACTCAGTTCTAATATTCATCTATTTTCTCCAAAGACGGCAGACCCCCAAGGAGTGACCTATGCTGAGCTAAGCACCAGCGCCCTGTCTGAGGCAGCTTCAGACACCACCCAGGAGCCCCCAGGATCTCATGAATATGCGGCACTGAAAGTGTAGCAAGAAGACAGCCCTGGCCACTAAAGGAGGGGGGATCGTGCTGGCCAAGGTTATCGGAAATCTGGAGATGCAGATACTGTGTTTCCTTGCTCTTCGTCCATATCAATAAAATTAAGTTTCTCGTCTTAAAAAGAAATCTGACTTATTTATGGATTATTCATGCCCAAGAACCCCACCATACTCTTTCTACCCCACATTTCCTCCTAGAACAATTCAAGGAAATAATAAATAATGATTGACCAGCTATCCAGGAAAGAATGTAAGAATTACTGAGCATCTCCAGGAAGCACAACAAGCAAAAAAGAAAACGGCCGGGCTCACGCCTGTCATCCCAGCACTTTGGGAGGCCGAGGTGGGTGGATCATCTGAGGTCAGAGTTCAAGACCAGCCTGACCAACATGGTGAAATCCCATCTCTACTAAAAATAAAAAATTAGTTGGACGTGGTGGCAGGCGCCTGTAATCCCCGCTACTTGGGAGACTGAGGCAGAAGAATCGCTTGAACCCAGGAGGCAGAGATTGCAGTGAGCTGAGATGGCGCCATTGAATTCCAGCCTGGGCAATGGAGTGAGACTCCATCTCAAAAAAAAAAAAAAAAAAAAACAAAAAACGCCCAGAGCTGCAAACTCCTAGACCAGAGGGCAGAAAACAAAAGGACCAGAGAGTAACACGTCCAGCTTTGTGGGCTGTAGGATCTCTGCTGAGACTACCCCACTCTGCTGTTGTACCATGAAAGCAGCCATCGCTGATATGTAAACAAGTAGGTGTGGCGGTGTTAGAATAAAACTTTATTTACAACTTCATGTTCTCACTCATGTAGGAGCTAAAAAAGTAGATCTCATGAAGGTAAAGAGAGAGTCAGTTATCAAAGGCTAGAAGGGGTGGGATAGTTAATGGGCACAAACACAGTTGGATAGAAGGAATAAGTTCAAGTGTTCAATAGCACAGAAGGGTGACTATAGTTAACAGCAATATATTGTATATTTCAAAATAGCTAGAAGAGAAGATTTGAAACATTCCCAACACAAACGATAAATGAGCCAGGTGCAGTGGCTCACTCCTGTAATCCCAACACTTTGAGAGGCCAAGATGGGTGGATCACCTGAGGTCAGGAGTTCAAGACCAGCCTGGCCAACAAGGTGAAACCCCATCTCCACTAAAAATACAAAAATTAGCTGGGTGTGGTGGCGCACACCTGTAATCCCAGCCACTTGGGAGGCTGAGGCAGAAGAATTGCTTGAACTCGGGAGGCAGAGGTTGCAGTGAGCCAAGATCACACCACTGTACTCCAGCCTGGGCGACAGAGAGAGACTCTGTCTCGAAAAGATAAAAAAAAAGATAAATGTTTGAGGTGGTGAATATCCTAAATACCCTAATTTGAGTATTATACATTCTGTGCATGTATCAAACTATCACATGTATGTCATAAATATGCATAAATATTATGTATCTATAGAAAGTTTTTTTTTTTTTGATGGAGTCTTGCTCTGTCGCCCAGGCGCCAGAGTGCAGTGGCGTGATCTCAGCTCGCTGCAACCTCTCCCCGCAGGTTCAAATGATTCTCCTGTCTCAGCCTCCTGAGTAGCTGGGATTACAAGCTTCTGCCATCACACCAGGCTAATTTTTTTGTATTTTTAGTAGAGATGGGGTTTCACCATGTTGGCCAGGCTGGTCTTGAGCTCCTGACCTCAAGTCATCCGCCTGCCTCGGCTTCCCATAGTGCTGGGATTACAGGCGTGAGCCACCGTGCCCAGCCCAGAAAGTTGTTTTAAAAACAAAAAATTTTATTTGCAAAAACAAGCTGTGGGCTCTAGCGTGCCAACCCTTGTGCTAGGCCAGTGCTTTTTAAAGTCTGCTTGGGCCATCACCCCAACCACTTCTGGCCCTGATGAGGGTCCAGGGCATGAGAGGGAAGGAGAGAGTGTCTTAGTCCATCCAGGCTGCTATCAACATACCAAAGACCTGGCAGCTTACAGACAACACATAGTTATTTCTCATGGTTCTGGAGGCTGGAAGTCCAAGACCAAAGCACTGGTAGATTCAGTGTCTGCTGAGGGCTTTTTTCCTGGTTCATAGCTGGCACCTTCTTGCTGTGTCCTTACATAGTGAAAGAGACTGGGCCGGGCGCAGTGGCTCACGCCTGTAATCTCAGGACTTTGGGAGACCGAGTGGGGGGCGGATCACCTGAGATCAGGAGTTCGAAACCAGCCTGACCAACACGGTGAAACCCCATCTCTACTAAAAATATAAAAATTAGCTGGGCGCAGTGGTGGGTGCCTGTCATCCCAGCTACTTGGGAGGCTGAGGCAGGAGAATTGCTTGCACCTGGGAGGCGGAGGTTGAAGTGAGCCGAAATCGTGCCACTGCACTCCAGCCTGAATGACAGAGCCAGACTCCATCTCAAAAAAAAAAAAAAAAAAAAGAGTGAAGGCTTAATAAGCAAAAGAAAGAGAAAAGAGAATAGTTCTCTCTTTTGCACAGAGAAGAGAGGGGTTCCCGAGTGGGACCCCTGGTTTTGTGGTGAAATGCATGGGGCTTTTATAGACAAGCTTGAGGAGGTGCTGTCTGATTTACATAGGGCCTGAGAGATTAGTCGGACCAGGTATGACGTTTGCATAGCCCCCAAAGAAGCTGGCCATCCCACCCTAATCTTTTATTACGTAGGTAGGGTCTCTGCCTGGCCGGGGCCATGTTGTCTGCTTTTTTACTGCACATGTGGGGACAAAGAAAAGGGAAGAGGGAACCTCCATGTTGAATATACCCGGCTCCCAGGCATCCGTTTTCTATTGGCACAGCTGATGCAAGATTTTAGCTTGTTTATCTATGCTTGCAGCTTGATGTTTCAGGCTGCTTTCTGTTAGAAAAGAAATTATTTGGGGGCTGCTCTTTATTAATAGGAAACCTTACTGAGGACTCTCTTACCCTCACTGTCTGCCTCAATAATTTCTTTTTAGCTCCCGTATTACAAATACCATCACCTTGGGGTTAGGTTCCAACAGCTGAATTTTGTCGGGACACAAACATTGAGTTTACAATACCCATGAAGCTGTCTCTGCTTGTATCTTGTCCTAACCAGAAGCTCCCAGGATTGCTGCATCTGAAGGAACAACCTTGATATATGGCTTGTGTCTGTGTCCCCACCCAAATCTCATCTTCAGTTGTAGCTCCCATAATTCCCATGTGTTGTGGGATGGACCCAGTGGGAGATAATTCAATCATGGGGGTGGATTCCTGCAGGGTCCTATGGGGCTTTGCAGGTGTTCTCCCCGTGTGCAGAGATAAGAGATTGTAAGAAATAAAGACACAAGACAAAGAGATAAAGAGAAAACAGCTGGGCCCGGAGGACCACAACCATCAAGACGCGGAGACCGGTAGTGGCCCATAACGGCTGGGCGCGCTGATACTTATTGCATACAAGATAAGGGGGCAGGGTAAGCAGGGTGAATCTTCGAAGTGATTGACAAGGTGAAGCAAGTCGTGTGATCACAGGAGAGGGGGCCCTTCCCTCTTAGGTAGCCGAAGCAGAGAGAGAGGGAGAAGGCAGCATACGTCAGCGTTTTCTTCCATGCACTTATAAGAAAGATCAAAGACTTTAAGACTTTCACTATTTCTTCTACCGCTATCTACTATGAACTTCAAAGAGGAGCCAGGAGTACGGGAGGAGCATGAAAGTGGACAAGGAGTGTGAGCACTGAAGCACAGCACCACAGGGAGGGGTTTAGGCCTCCGGATGACTGCGGGCAGGCCTGGATAATATCCAGCCTTCCACAAGAAGCTGGTGGAGCAGAGTGTTCCCTGACTCCTCCAAGGAAAGGAGACTCCCTTTCACCGTCTGCTAAGTAACGGGTGCCTTCCCAGACACTGGCGTTACCGCTTGACCAAGGACCCCTCAAGCGGCCCTGATGCACGCGTGACAGAGGGCTCACCTCTTGCCTTCTAGGTCACTTCTCACCATGTCCCTTCAGCACCTGACCCTATACCCGCCGGTTATTCCTAGGTTATATTAGTAATGCAGCAAAGAGTAATATTAAAAGCTAATGATTAATAATGTTTATAATAATGATTGATAATTGTCCATGATCATCTCTACATCTAATTTGTATTATGACTATTCTTATTCTATTTTCTTTATTATACTGCAACAGTTTGTGCCTTCAGTCTCTTGCCTCAGCACCTGGCTAATCCTCCACCCACACATTCCCCCATGCCGTTCTCATGGTAGTGAACAAGTCTCAGGAGAGCTGAGGTTTTTATAACGGGTTTCCCCTTTTGCTTGGCTCTCTCATTTCTCTGTCGTCTGCCACCATGTAAGATGTGCCTTTCACCTTCTGCCATGATTGTGAGGCCTCCCCAGCCATGTGGAACTGTAAGTCCGTTATACCTCTTTTTTAAAAAGTAAACTGACTGGGCGCAGTGGCTCACGCCTGTAATCCCAGCACTCTGGGAGGCCGAGGCGGGTGGATCATGAGGTCAGGAGATCGAGACCATCCTGGATAACACAGTGAAACCCCGTCTCTACTAAAAATACAAAAAATTAGCCGGGCGCGGTGGCGGGCGCCTGTAGTCCCAGCTACTCAGGAGGCTGAGGCAGGAGAATGGTGTGACCCCGGGAGGCGGAGCTTGCAGTGAGCGGAGATCGTGCCACTGCACTCCAGCCTGGGTGACAGAGTGCGTCTCAAAAAAATAAATAAATAAAAATAAAAATAAAAATAAATTACTCAGTCTCAGGTATGTCTTTATCAGCAGTGTGAAAACAGACTAACGCAAACTTCTTCGCTCCCCCTCCCCTCACTACACAGTCCCAGGTTGCAGTGTGGAGGCCACATAGGGAGTAGCAAGGTGGGGAGGAGTGTCTCTTTGTTTTCTTGCCACAGAGAGTCATTCTTTTTTAAGCTTGGGAGTTCTTGGTGGCCATCTGTCTCGCCATGTGGAGGAAGCCAGTCTTTATGGAGAAACACAAAGATGACTCAGGGAGCATCCGGGAAGCGGGAGTGAGTAACAGTGCTTTCAGCTTTTGTTTTCTTGGTTCTAATTGCTTCCAAAGCTCAGCATTCCTTCACTCCCTGCAGTTTTCTTGCCCAATCCTTCTTGAACCAAAAAAACCCAAAAAGTCCTCCTTTGATTCTAAGCTATTCTGAGAATGGATTTTGTTTTGATTGAAGGGTCCTGGCAAACATTATTAAAATGGGTGGCCCTAATGGATATCCTTTATGGACATCTATGCTGGTAGTCACACTCACTGAATTACCATAGTGAGGACTCAGCTCTGATTTTTTTTTTTTATCTTGCCCAGATTCTTATCTAAGGGGTCTGGGGTCTCATGCCCTACAAACCATAAATTCTCATCAGATGGGTTTTATTTAGCCCTATATATCGTGACTTACTTTCCAATCTGACTCTGGCATAACATTACCTAACAAAGAAGAAAATAAAAATATTTTACCCCAAAACATGTTTCTTTGCCATATTTTTAAATGGCCCTGCAAAGCTGTCCTTGGTGGGGGGGAATATTTGCATATGTAAAGGATCTCTGTTAACATTGCTAGATCTTTTTCCTCCAGGACCTCCCAATCCTGAGGAGGTTAACTGAGAATCTAGCAACTTTTGAAGGTCTGAGTAGGAAACATTTGTCATCTATTGTCTCTAAGGGCAGCCACTATAAGACTTCAAAAGAACCTTGGTCTCCACAATCTTTTATCTTAACCTGAATATTTCCTCTCTATTAATCCCAGGTCTTTAGACAAACTCAACCAATTGTCAACCAGAAAATGTTTTAATTTACCTAAAGCCTGGAAGGCCCTGCCTCCTTCAAATTGTCCAGCCTTTCTGGACCAAACCAATGTATTTCTCAAATGTGTTTGATTGATGCCTCACGCCTCCCTAAAATGTATAAAACCAAGCTGCCCCCCGACCACCTTGGGTACATGGTCTCAGGACCTCCTTAGGGCTGTGTCAGGGGCCATGGTCATTATCATATTTGGCTCAGAATAAATCTCTTCAAATATTTTATAGAGTTTGACTCTTTTTGTCAACAAGAGTAAGTCTTGATATGTGATACGATCTGAGGGAGGCTCGGATCCACAGCTGGGGTTTGGACAGCTGTAGCATCACCCTGGGAGCTCCCGCCCCAACTCGGAAGGGGCAGGGCTCCCTGCGGCTCCATAGCGTGTATAGCCCGGGCTGGGCCTCCCTGGGGCAGGTGGCGTCATGGCAGCAGCAAGCCGTCTGGAGTGGCTGCTGCCATCACCAAAGGCCCAACCTCTCAGATCACATTGGGTGTCAAGATTTAACATGAGGCCGGGCGCGGTGGCTCACGCCTGTAATCCCAGCACTTTGGGAGGCCGAGGTGGGTGGATCATGAGGTCAGGAGATCGAGACCATCCTGGCTAACATATCTCTACTATAAATACAAAAAATTAGCCAGGTGTGGTGGCGGGTGCCTGTAGTCTCAGCTACTCGGGAGGCTGAGGCAGGAAAATGGCATGAACCTGGGAGGCGGAGCTTGCAGTGAGCCGAGATCCATCATTGCACTCCAGCCTGGGTGACAGAGCAAGACTCTGTCTCAAAAAAAAAAAAAAAAAAAAAGATTTAATATGTGGCCAGGCGCGGTAGCTCACACCTGTAATCCCAACACTTTGGGAGGTCAAAGTGGGAGGATCATGGGGTCAAGAGATCGAGACCATCCTGGCCAATATGGTGAAACCCTGCCTCTACTAAAAATACAAAAATTAGCTGGGAATAGTGGCACACGCCTGTAGTCCCTGCTACTCAGGAGGCTGAGGCAGGAGAATTGCTTGAACCCAGGAGGCAGAGGTTGCAGTGAGCCGAGATCACACCATTGCACTCCAGCCTGGGCGACAGAGGGAAACTCTGTCTCAGAAAAAAAAATAGAAAAGATCTAACATATGAATCTGTGGAAAGCACCGCCATGCAGCACAGGCCCAGGATTTGAAGTAAACTGAAGAGGCTCAACACATGTGGAGGTGGCTTTGTAAATAACTTCAGGAAACTAACTGAGGGTCATGTACCAGCAGGAGCAACTTCATAAAGGGGCCATGGAGAACCTGAGTTCCTTGCTGTTAAAAAGGAATATATAAATCCTGTTAGTTCAGAGAAAGCACAGATCATCAGTCTGATGAGGATAGGGCTTAATTATGGGCTGAATTACATCTCCTCAAAATTCGTGTGCTGAATCCTAACTCCCAGTAACTCAGAATGTGACTGTATTTAGAGACAAGAGGCCGTTGTGAAAAAAGGAAATTTGGACATAAAAAAGACACTAGGGGCTACGTGTGGTGGCTCACGCCTGTAATTTCAGCACTTTGGGAAGCCCAGGTGGGCGGATCGCCTGAGGTCAGGAGTTCAAGACCAGCCTGGCCAACATGGCCAAACCCCATGTCTACTAAAAATACAAAAATTAGCTGGGCGCGGTGGTGCACGCCTGTAATCCCAGCTACTCGATAGGCTGAGGCAGGGGAATCGCTTGAATCCAGGAGGCAGAGGCTGCAGTGAGCTGAGATCGTGTCATTGCACTCCAGCTGGGCAACAGAGTAAGACTCCAACTCAAAAAAAAAAAAAAGAAAAGGACACCAGGATATGTACATCCAGAGGAAAGACCACGTGGAGACACAGCAAGAAGGCGGCCATCTGCATACAAAGCAGAGAGACCCCGGGAGAAACTGACCCTACTGGCACCTCCATCTTGGATTTCCAGCCTGCAGAACGGTGAGAAAATCCATTTCTGTCCCATAAGCCCCCCAGTGGGGGGCATTTTGTTATGGCTTCCCTAGCACACAACTGTAGGTGGTAAACATATTTTAAACATTATAGTGATCATTTGTAAAAAAAAAAAAAAAAAAAAATTCAAAGAAATATATTTTCTACAGCTTCTCTTTATGATACCCTATGTTCCAAAGGCTACCTATTGTATTTTCTAGAAGACTATAAGAATTTTTCACACATGCTGGGGCCTGTCAGAGGGTGGAGGGTGGTAGCAGAGAGAGGATCAGGAAAAATAACTAGTGGGTACTAGGCTTAATAACTGGGTGATAAAATAATCTGATAATCAGGAAGTAGTAAATACACTAGAAAAAAAATAATCTGTACAACAAACCCCCATGACACACGTTTACCCGTGTAACAAACCTGCACATCCTGCCCATGTACCCCTGAACTTAAATGTCAAAAAAAAAAAAAGAATTTTTCTAGTATCATGCCAGGCTCTGTGGTTCATGCCTGTAATCCCAGCACTTTGGGAGGCTGAGGCAAGTTGATTGCTTGAGCATAGGAGTTCGAGACCAGCCTGGGGAAAATGGTAAAACCCTGTCTATACTAAAAATACAAAAATTAGCTGAGCATGGTGGTGCATGCTTGTAGTCCGGGCTACTCTAGAGGCTGAGGCAGGAGGATCGCTGGAGCCCAGGAGGTGGAGGCTGCAGTGAGCCATCATTGCACCACTGCACTCCAGCCTGGGTGACAGAGTGAGACCCTGTCTCAAAAAAAAAAAAATCAATTTTTCTAGTGCTATACATTTAATTTTTTTTTCTGTTATGAACATTAGGTTTCTTTGCCTTATTGTTTCAAATTCTTTGGAAGCATTGTTCAATCAATCACATGAGCACAATAGTTGGTACAAAACAGTCATTATTTTGAAAGACCATCACCTGATATGAACAGTTCATTCATAAACTTGAGCCTTTTTTTGTTTTTGTTTTTGTTTTTGAGACAGAATCTTGCTCTGTTGCCCAGGCTGGCGTTCAGTGGCACGATCTCTGGTCACTGCAACCTCCACCTCCCAGGCTCAAGTGATTCTCCTGCCTCAGCCTCCCAAGTAGCTGGGATTACAGGTGCCTGCCACCACGTCCAGCTAATTATTTATTTATTTAATTTATTTTTTGAGACGGAGTTTCACTCTTGTCACCCAGGCTGGAGTGCAGTGGCACGATCTTGGCTCACTGAAACCTCCACCTCCTGGGTTCAAGCAATTCTCCTGCCTTAGCCTCCTGAGTAGCTGGGATTACAGGCGCCCACCACCATGCCGGGCTAATTTTTGTATTTTTCGTAGAGACGGGGTTTCACCATGTTAGCCAGGCTGGTCTCAATCTCCCAGCCTCAGGTGATCTGCCTGCCTCAGCTTCCCAAAGCACTGGGATTACAGGTGTGAGCCACCGTGCCTGGCTGAGTTTGTTTTGTTTTAAAGACCTCAGGGATGTACCTCTAATTGACACTACATCACATTAATCAATAGCTGCACTTTTTGCAAACTGTGGCTATGACAGTCCTGAACAAGAAGGGTTTCCTGCTTAAGCTGCAGTAACTTTTCTGACTATGGATCATTGTTCCTTCTGTGGCAGATTTTTACACCTCCTCTAATGCATTTGGGATGACTGTCTCCAAGTAACCTGCAGCTTTCCTCACTGTCTCTCCTGCTAAGAACTGTTGCCCTTTTCTGCTGTTTTTAGAACCTTCTGTTTTCATATCCACCAGTTCCACGGCCAGATCTATAACGACCACCAGAGGGACTGCCTGAGCTTCTTCCACCAAAACTGCCCCGCATAAACTTGAGCTTTTAAGCGGCATTATATATAAGCCCTATACGAGTTTAACTTGATCTTGTTAAGGTAAACAATCTGTTCAGTCTCACTTTCTTTTTGCATTGATAATTTTAATAATGTCTGATCATTTACTTTCTAAAATCACAAATGCAGTAGCAAGTTTTGGCCAGTTTCATTTTCTTAACTTTTCTCCTCCACATGGGACATGCTACGGGAAGAGGCTTAGAATCGTGGAAAGAGGAGAGTCATCTGCTTTCAGTGCTGGATACAAGGGCAGGTTGTGTGACCTTGGGAACACGTGTTAAAATCTCCAGAACTGCATGTGCCTTTCCTCATCGTGAAGACACAGATCTCGAATAGGGTTGTTGTAGATAGTATGACCAACTGTTACCGTTTTACCAGGATTGGTGTGTGCAGGGGCGTGTGTGTGTGTCTTAGGATGTGGGACTTTCGGTTTTAAAATAGAAATGAGGAATTTCCCAGGACACAGAAATTTCAGGGCTAAACCAGAGAAAATCCTGGGCGAACCGGAACAATTTGGTTGCCCTAGTTGTAAGCACGTGAGTTGCAAAGATGTAGGTGTGATTATTCCCTTGATTCAGTAAACAATTTTTTTCTTTTTTCCCATTGCCCTATCAACCCAACTCCTAGGTCTAATTCTTTACCTGTGCCCTTGGGTGACATGTAAAGCAAGTCTCATAACTTTTTTTTTTTTTGAGACAGTCTTGCTCTGTTGCCCAGCCTGGAGTGCTATGGTGCAGTCATGGTTCACTGCAACCTCTGCCTCCCAGGTTCAAGTGATTCTCCTGCCTCAGCCTCCCGAGCAGCTGGGATTACAAGCATGTGCTACCACGCCCAGCTAATTTTTGTATTTTTAGTAGAGACAGGGTTTCGCCATGTTGGCCAGGCTGGTCTCGAACTCCTGACCTTAAGTGATCCGCCCACCTTGGCCTCCCAAAGTGCTAGGATTACAGGTGTGAGCCACTGCGCCCGGCCTTCTCATAATTTTTATAGTCATCTTAGGTCATAAAGACTTCCAGCTGCTTCTTAAAAAAGTCACATACAAGAAAAAAATACAGTGTCAGCTCAGTGATTAAAATCCTTTCGGCAGGTTGCCTGCAACGTGGAGGAAGCGTGGTCAGCTTTTCCTTTATCTCCCCACGTGGAGCTTCTCCTGCTTCCCCCACTCTCTTGCAAGGCTGCAGACCTCTCACCTGCAGTTCCCTTGATGCCTGTAAATGCAGCTCCTCCACTTGGTCACATTACTGAATCCTTGGGGATCCGTCAGTACATTTCCAGCTTCTCTCTGCAGACTTCACCTCCTACCTCCAGGTGGCGCTCCTGCAAAGGATAAAAGCTCCTGGTACATTCATTCTCATATTCATTCTCTCTCCCCCCTCTCCCCCCCTCCCCCATTTCTCCCCTCTCCCCTCTCTCCCCTCCCACCCTCTCTCTCTCCTCCCACCCTCTCTCTCCAGTGAGGAAAGACCCTGTGTTAGCCCGTTCTCACACTGCTATAAATAGCCGAGGCCGTGTGTGGTGGCTCACACCTGTAATCTTAGCACTTTGGGAGGCTGAGGTGGGCGGATCACTTGAGGTTAGGAGTTCGAGACTAGCCTGGTCAACATGGTGAACGCCACCTCTACTAAAAATACAAAATTAGCCGGCTATTGGCGCATGCCTGTTGTCCCAGTTACTCGGTAGGCTGAGGCAGGAGAATCGCTTGAACCCAGGAGGCGGAGGTTGCAGTGAGCTGAGATTGCACCACTGCACACCAGCCTGGATGACAGGGGGGCTCAGTCTCAAAAAAAAAAGAAAGAGATTTAATTGACTTACAATTCCACATGGCTAGGGTGGCCTCAGGAAACTACAGTCATGGCAGAAGGGGAAGGAGAAGCAAATATCTTCTTCACAAGGCAACAAGAGAGAGAGAAGAGCAAGCAAAGGAGGAACTTGCCAAACGCTTATAAAACCATCAGATCTCCTGAGAACTCACTTTATCATGAGAACAACAAGGTAGAAGCCACCTCCATGATTCAATCACCTCCCACCAGGTTCCTCCCCCAACACCTGGGGATTACAATTCAAGATGAGATTTGGGTGGGGACATAAAGCCAAACCATATCAGACCCCATTCCTCTCTGGACCCGCCCCTCACCCCATATAACTACTCTGAATTGTCCAGTTGAAGAGACTGTCATCCTCCATCACACATCTACGGTGGACAGAGGATGGGACTCACAGCACACCAACAGCTTACGTAAACAAACACACAGAAACAAAACAAAACAAAAACTCTTCTAATCTCTGGAGACTATTATTCTAAGTGAAGTAACTCAGGAATGGAAAACCAAACATCATATGTTCTCACTGATATGTGGGAGCTAAACTATGAGGATGCAAAGGCATAAGAATGATACAATGGACTTTGGGGACTTGGGGGGAAAGGTGAGAGGGGGGCGAGGGATAAAAGACTATAAATGGGGTGCAGTGTATACTGCTTGGGTGATGGCTACACCACAATCTCACAAAGCACCACTAAAGAACTTACTCATGCAACCAAACACCACCTGTATCCCAATAGGAAAAAAAATACCTTCTAATCTCAACACTCCTTTCTTTTTTTTTTCTTTTTTTAATTTTTATTTATTTATTTATTTTTATTTTATTTTATTATTATTATACTTTAAGTTTTAGGGTACATGTGCACAATGTGCAGGTTAGTTACATATGTATACATGTGCCATGCTGGTGTGCTGCACCCACTAACTCGTCATTTAGCATTAGGTATATCTCCTAATGCTATCCCTCCCCCTTCCCCCCAACACTCCTTTCTTACCTTCAGGTGGACAAGAGGCCAAGGGTGTGGGGAAATTAGGTTTTCAGCATTTTCTCCTGAAGTCATGCAGAAATGGCCTTACTGTGAGATCTGACCTCGCTGGCATCTATAATCTTTGGGCCTGAGCAGAAACTGAGATTGCAATGAATCTACTTTGACATTCTGTTATATACATGTGCAAAAACCTTGGGAATACTGGGTATGAGCAGTTTGGAAGGAGAATGGATGGTAGGAATTCATTTTCATAAAAAAAAAAAAAGCTCATGAATAAGTGCACAAGAAAATGTAAGATCAGCCGGGCACAGTGGCTCACACCCGTAATCCCAGCACTTTGGGAGGCCGAGGCAGGCAGATCACCGGAGGTCAGGAATTGGAGACCAACCTGACCAACACAGAGAAACCCTGTCTCTACTAAAAATACAAAATTAGCCGGGCGTGGTGGTGCATGCCTGTAATCTCAGCTAATGGGGAGGCTGAGGCAGGAGAATCACTTGAATCCGGGAGGTGGAGGTTGTGTTGAGCTGAGATCGCACCACTGTACTCCAGCCTGGGCATCTCTAAAATATAAAAATTAGCCAGGCTTGGTGGCGGGCGCCTGTAATCCCAGCTGCTCAGGAGGCTGAGGCAGGAGAATCGCTTGAATCTGCGGGGTGGAGGTTGCTGTGAGCCAAGATGGTGCCACTTCATTGCAGCCTGGGCGAAAGAGTGAGACTCTGTCTCAAAAAAAAAAAAAAAAAAAAAGAGAACCCAGACCTGGAGTGGTGTCTCACGCCTGTAATCCCAGTATGGTGTCTCACTGCAGCCTTGACCTCCTAAGCTCAAGTGATCCTCCCGCCTCAGCTTCCTGAGAAGCTGGACGCACAGGCAAATGCTAATTTTTAAAAACTTTTTTGTAGAGATGGGATTTTGCCATGTTGCCCAGGCTGGTCTTGAACACCTGGGCTCAAGAGATCCTTCTGCCTCAGACTCCCAAAGTGCTGGGATTATAGGCGTGAGCTGCCACACCTGGCCTCCAGAACTATTTTAAAATAAAAAGTTAAGCCAGGTGAGGTGGCTCGCTCCTGTAATGCCAGCACTTTGGGAGGCTGAGGTGGGCAGATCACTTGAGGTCAGGAGTTTGAGACCAGCCTGGCCAACATGGTGAAGCCCTGTCTCTACGGAAAATACAAAAATTAGCTGGGCATAGTAGCAGGTGCCTGTAGCCCCAGCTACTCGGGAGGCTGAGGCAGGAGAATTGCTTGAACCCAGGAGGTGGAGGTTGCAGTGAGCCGAGATCGCGCCACTGCACTCCAGCCTGGGCGACAAGAGCAAGACTCTGTCTCAAATAAATAAATAAAAAGTTAATTTTTTGGAAAGGATGAGATAAAAAGCAGACGAAGGGCATAGAAAGGCCCTTCCAACGCGGCCCTCTCCAACATGAGGAAGCCTCCCACGAGATTTCCACTCACATCTCAAGAAACACAATTGCATCCAGCCCCTTCCTTAAATAACCACTAGCAGTGGGCGTGAGTTTACCTAACTGGGCTAAAGGTGTTTAAACTTCAGTGTGCATCAGAATCACCTGGAGGACTTGTCAAACCATAGGTTGGAGAGGAGGAGAAAGGAAAAGCTCACCTTCAGAGTTTCTGACTGATTCAGTAGGTCTGGGGTGGGGCTCAAGAATTTGCCTTTCTGACGAGCTCCCAGGTGATGCTGACGCTGCTGGTTCAGGGACCACACTTTCACAACCAGCACGTCACTAAGCCTTAGACTAATCAAGATTCATGCCTGAAACTAGAAAAGGGCCAAGTCTCCAAGGAACAAGGGTGGCCAACTGACACCTGAACAAAATCAGGGTTCTCGGCTGGGTGCGGTGGCTCAGGCCTGTAATCCCAGCACTTTGGGAGGCTGAGGTGGGCGAATCACGAGGTCAGGAGTTTGAGACCAGCCTGACCAACATGGTGAAACCCCGTCTCTACTAAAAATTCAAAAATTAGCTGGGTGTGGTGGCGAGCACCTGTAATCCAGCTACTGGGGAGGCTGAGGCAGGAGAATCACTTGAATCTGGGAGGTGGAGTTTGCAGTGAGCTGAGATTGCACCACTGCACTCTAGCCTGGGCGACAGAGCAAGACTGCATCTCAAGAAACAAAAACAAAAACAAAATCAGGATTCTCTTAGCAGAGAAGATTTTGGATTTTGAGAAACACCTGTCCCTTATATCGTACGATGACTTTTCTCTTATTTTTTCTGATCTTAATATAATTATATCAGCTTCCTGGAGAAGTTCCTCCACCACATTTTCTTACTTGTTCATTTTTCTTCAGCTGTATCAATTCTGCCTTTTTTTTTTTTTTTTTTAAAGAGACACGGTCTCACCATGTTGCCCAGACTGGTCTCGAACTCCTGGTCTCAAGTGATCATCCCACCTCAGCCTCTCAAAGTGCTGGGATTACAGGCGTGAGCCACGGCACCCACCCTACTGCCTATTCTGTTAGAGGATAATGTTATATATTTTTTACCATCATGTATTTTTATACTTTTTATTTCCATAAGCCTCTTGCTTTATGGAAAATTGTTCTTGTTTCATATTGCTAATATGTGTCCTTTTTTAGTATGTTTCTTTTTTTTTCTTTTTATTTTTTGAGACAGGGTCTTGCACTGTCACACAGACTGGAGTGCAGTGGCACAATCATAGCTCACTGCAGCCTTGACCTCCCAGGCTCAAGCAATCCTCCTGCCTCAGCCTCCCAAGTAGCTGGGGCCACAGGTGTGCACCACCACACTGGGCTAATTTTTTTTTTTTTTTTTTTGTAGAGATGGGAATCTCACTATGTTGCCCAGGCTGGCTTTGTTAAGAAGTACATTTCTTATGCTAATTATAAATTCTTGATCTATCTGACACCTCCTCCCCCGAAAAAAACACTCTCATTGCTTCACCACACCAAGCAACTGACA